>NC_000004.12:89527441-89830471 GCF_000001405.40 Homo sapiens
ATGCCAGCTACTCGGGAGGCTGAGGCAGGAGAATCACTTGAACCCCGGAAGCGGAGATTACAGTGAGCTGAGGTTGCACCATTGCACTCCAGCCTTCAAGACAGGGTAAGACTCCATCTCAAAACAAAAACAAACAAAAAAACCACGAGAAGAATGAGTTCATGTCCTTTGCAGGGACGTGGATGAAGCTGGAAGCCATCATTCTCAACAAACTAACACAGGAACAGAAAACCAAACACCGGCAGGGCGTGGTGGCTCATGCCTGTAATCCCAGCACTTTGGGAGGCTGAGGTGGGTGGATCACAAGGTCAGGAGATAGAGACCATCCTGGCTAACAACGGTGAAACCCCGTCTCTACTAAAAATACAAAAAATTAGCCAGGCGTGGTGGCGGGCGCCTGTAGTCCCAGCTACTCAGGAGGCTGAGGCAGGAGAAAGGCGTGAACCTGGGAGGCGGAGCTTGCAGTGAGCCGAGATCGCACCACTGCACTCCAGCCTGGGCAAGAGAGCAAAACTCCGTCTCAAAAAAAAAAAAAAAAAAAAAAGAAAACCAAACACCACATATTCTCACTCATAAGTGGGAGGTGAGCAATGAGAACACATGGACACAGGGAGGGGAACATCACACACCAGGGCTTGTCAGAGGATGGTGGGCAAGGGGAGGGAGAGCATTAGAACAAATACCTAATGCATGCAGAGCTTAAAACCTAGATGATGGGTTGACAGGTGCAGCAAACCACCATGGCACATGTACACCTATGTAACAAACCCGCATGTTCTACACGTGTATCCCAGAACTTAAAGTAAATATATATATATATTCTATAAGCAAATGAATATATATGTATATATGTCTGTCTTATACTAAGCAAATGAACATATATATGTTCATTTAAGCAAATGAACATATATATGTTCATTTAAGCAAATGAACATATGTATGTATATATATATCATTTGCTTCTTGTTTAAAGAAACATCAGTATACTAAGTTAAATTTATAAAACCAAATGAAGATGACTTTCATCATGAAAACACCCTTTCAGTTCACACAAAAAGGAACAATTATAATTTTCTATTAAACCAACTCTCCCCTCCCTCGGACATGAAAATTATTGAAAGCTTTCAAAGTTTCAAGCAAATTTTAAAGAATATCCAATAAAGTGAGACTCATGTCTAACTACTTCTTCAAAATGCCACAAACCCTCTGTCTCCTCTTTTAAGGCACCTGTTTCCTCTCACTGTGGTTGAGCTTACTGATGTTTATATGTAAAATGTCTGATGTGTGTTCTTCATCAAAGACTTTTCTAGTGTGGTTGCGTCCTCTGCTGTGCTGTGGTTTGTGTGGCGGCCCTCCTCTCCTAATGCTCCCCTACTGGATTCTGGGGGGAAAACGGAAGGAACCATATCCCCTTCTCCTTTGTTAGGATGGGACTATCCTGTCCCATCACATTGCAGTTATGTGTGGATTTCTATACTAGCAAGTAAGGGCCAATTCAGAAGAGAATTACAGCAAATCTTTCATAGGCAGGAAACTCTACATTCCTTTCTGATAGTTCTTTCTTCTTTCAGGCATAGATAGTGTTAAAGGCTGTATGTAATTAGTGTGCCTCAGTAAGGTACTATAAGGCTATGTGTGGCTATACTCAGTTGAGAGTTTACACATAGTTAACACATTTTGCAAGAATAGACAAGACCTGTAATATCTGGGAATTTCCAGGAGAAGCTCTTTTATCTAAAAATTACATAATTAGAAATTGGATGAAACTTGTCCTTTTGTATATTTAAGGATGTAGCACGGTGCCCCCAAAGACTCTTGATTTCTGCTAACAATCTTATAAAAAGGTGTTAGAGTATTTCCCACCTTCTTTAAAATAATTGTTCCATCCCGCCCACAGCAGATGATCCCAGATGCGCCCCTAAGGCCAAGTGCACCGTGCCAACCAAGGGTTCCAGGATTTTATGAATATCAAGCAAATTCCACCTTTAGCAGAAGTTAACTTGTAGCCCAACACTGCTTAGCATCCCTTACATAGGGACTAAATGGGCATTTAGAAATTCAAGCAGGTCTCTGTCTCCTCCCTGTAATGTCTATTTCATTGTCATTAAAAATTCTATGTAATTTATATTTTCCTTTAAATGCCCAAGGATAAAGCACCTAAAGACTACAATCTTCACAAGAAAATAGAGTGGATATCTTTTTTGGGAGGGAGAGGATTGGTTATTAATCCCTTCCCCCTTCTTCTGGTAGGAGCACCACGTACCCTCACTTGTGTTCTGGAATATATTCCTTAACCACCTTTTGTAGTTATTGTAGGAATGTCCATAGGGTATGCTGCCACCCAAACCCCTGTCCAGCCACCAGGGAGCTCATATGACCTAGTCTGACAAATCATAACACTCTATCCATACAACTGGGGTTGTTTATCAAATGGTGTGTGACTTAAGCCAGGACAATTCGATTTCTTCCCTGGAATTTTATATGACCAAGTAAAAAGAGAAGCTCTTTTTTTTTCCCTCTGGATCACTAAACTGGGACAATGTAAACCCAAAACAGATACTAGATCCATGATTGCCCTTCCCCATCCCAACTTACTGGTGGATAAAATTGTCCACAAGTTAAGGCAATAAACAACCCACAGAGAGGAGTAGGGACAAGAATGTTGTGTGATTTCCCTGTTATAGTTCCTTTAGATTTTCCTTTTTTTTTTTTTTAGTCTGTTAGCTACTCCGTAGCCTTGCAATCCTGCAATAAGTCTTTATCTATCTATCTATCTATCTATCTATCTATCTATCTATCTATCTATGTATTTATTTATCTATACTTAAGCTGGTTTAAGATTTGAGTGTTGAAGTTATCGGTAATAAGAAGGTCTAGGAGGCAGGGATCAACAAACCTTTAAGTAAAAGACCAGATAGTAACTATTTTCCACTTTGTAGGCAATAAATCTGTCTCGATTACTCGCTCTGCTGTTGGAACATGAAAGCAGTCATCGACAATATATACACGAATGAACCTGGCTGTGTTCTGCTTAAAAATATAAACACCATCCTTCATTTTCAGTCTTTACAAAAACAGACAGTGGACTCAGTTTGGCTATGGGCCATAGTTTGTCCACCCTCTGGTCTAAGATATAACCATGAACATCAGTGTAAGACACTGGACGTGGAAAGAATTAAGGACCTGCAGAGTGAGAAGTTTCAGTGAATCATCTAGAGATATTAAAGTCACCATGAACAATAACAGAAATTCTGAGGGAATAAGGACTTGGAGACAAGTGCTAAAATCATCAATAAATATAGACATTCCTGGGCGGGGCTGGGTGCGGTGGCTCATGCCTGTAATCTCAGCACTTTGGGAGACCTAGGTGAGTGGATCAGCTGAGGTCAGGAGTTCGAGACCAGCCTGGCCAACATAGTGAAACCTCATCTCTACTAAAAATACAAAAATTAGCCAGGCATGGTTACATGTGCCTGCAGTCCCAGCTACTTGGGAGGCTGAGGCAGGAGAATTGCTTGGACCTGGGAGGTGGAGGTTGCAGTGAGCTGAGATTGCGCCACCGCACTCCAGCCTGGGTGACAGAGTGAGACTCTGTCTCCAAAAAAAAAAAAAAAAAAAAAAAAAGAAGAAAAGAAAACAAAAAGAAAAAGAACTGCCTGGGTGGATGGTAGATATCTGTGAAAATGAAATGTGGTGTCAGATGGCATATGTTTCATGTAGTTTCTTTGTGTGTTTGTTTTTGGCGAGGGGAGGAACATTAATTTCGAAGCTGTAATAGAGAACAAGGAGGACACCAACCTGCCTCCTCCCAGTGTTCTGTGTAAAGAGGGAGAACAAACTTTCTCCATTTGTGACCATGTGGGAAAAGTAATGTCATTAGGGCATAGCAAACCTTCAGCTGGTTTTGGCTAAGCAAGAAAGTTATAGGATCATTCAGATAACTTGAGGATACAGGCTTTTTTGCAGATGCCATACTGGAGGGCACAGTGGAAGCACAAAGACATTCAGGATGGGAGGCTGAGTAAGCTTAGGGGGCTATACATACAGAGGTAGAGATAGGGGACTGGAAGACTAGGAGTTCTTGTGTCTATGGAAGAATGTTTTAAATATGATGCGATTCATCTGTATGATTTCTTACAGAAAGGTGAGTAATGGGTTTTAATTATAGTCCCCTTCTCAATGTTTATCTCTGACTGTTACAGGGGGTGAGACAGGCAATATTTTGAAAGAAGATAGGAAAGGAGAATGTTTCTGCTGGATTGTGAGGATCTCTGTGGCATCCTCTTTGTCCTGCTAAGGAACTGTATATCTCCTTTGTAATTGTATTCCCAAAGTCAAGCAAAATTACTGGCAATTCATCTTTGTGAAATAAAGACAAGTATACAAACAACAATATTAACAGGTAGAATAACAGAATGGTGGAATAAATACACTGACAAAGTAATTGGGGTTGGGGAAAGGCAAATAATTTATCAGATTAAGATCTCAGGGAAAGATTCAATACGGTGATGCCTTTGCCAAGGGTCTTGACAGGTGAAATTGTGACAGGTCATTGATGGGCTCTGATGCTGCTCTCAGGACTACAAAGGTGTTTTTGTGCTTCCACAGCCCTCTGACAAGGATAGGTCTGGGCATTCTGGTTACATCTATCTATGTTCCATGATATGAAATTAAAAGATCTCATCATTCCAAATTACATTTCCCAAGAGATAAGGAGCTAATTGCCAAACAAGCAACAATACATCGAAAAGCCCAAATCATCTCATCCATTGTCTGCCTTAAAGGGAAGCTGGAGCCCTTTTGGAAAGGTACCAAGGGTGGAGAAAAAAAAGTAACAGTTTGGAAGATTATTTCTATTATTTCTCCAAGGAAATCAGTGGCATTAAAAAAAAAACTGGCTTCTAGACTAGTTTCAGTATAATGTCAGTATCATATAAAATGTCATGTTCAGTTAGCCTTATCATATGTACAATTTAGTCAGTAGAAAGCCTGAGGGCCCTTCTAGATATAGAATGATTTCTTTGTGCTGTCAGAGCAGGAAAGTAATAACTCAATGCTTTCAATTTTGGTTTGCTTCTTTGGTCTAGTTTTCAATAAAATTATAGACACAGGCTATTTTTATAAAATTCCCAAGTTGGTACAACATTACTTTAACCTTAAGGGTTTTTTCCCACTCTTGGATTCACTTTACATCAGGCTTTTCTATCAGTCCATATATAATCTGTGATGAAAAATATTCCTTCTTTACAGATATGAAAATAAATGAAAAAAGGGTCTGGAGTCATCATGTTGACCAGATTTTTCACTTTGTGAGAATTGTTCCAAACCTGAAGTCTTTATAAATAAAGGTTAATAATGTTTAAAAACTCCCAGGGGAAAGTGTAGGAGCCATCTGAGAAAAACAAAAAGACTTTCTGTCTACCTGGTTATTTGTCTTTATCTTCAATGTTGTAGGGGGAAAACAGTTAACTACTGCTGAGTAATAAATTACCACAAAACTTAGCAACTTAAAATAACACTTATTCATTATAATCTGCAGTTTCTGAGGGCCAGGGATCCAAAAGGTCTTCCGGACTGGCTGGTTCAGATTCTCGTGAGGTTGCAGGAGAACTTCTAGCTTCACTGGCAGTCACCCTCAGACTCTGTTGCAATTGAAAGATCCACTTCCAGGCTCACTCCCATGATTGTTGGCAGGCATCAGTTCCTACTGGCTGTTAGATGGAGACCTTTATTCCTTGCCAAGTAAGTCTGTTCATAGGCTACCTGAGTCTTTAGGACATGTCAATGGCTTCCTTCAGAATGAGTGATGAGACACACATACACAAAGAGAGAAAGAAAGGGAAAGGGAGAGAGAGATGAGGAAAGTGTGGTAGAGGATGTTGCAGACCTTGTCCAGAGTCACTAAGTTAGTGAGTGTCAGAGTCTGCCTCCCAAAGGAGATCTCTTAGCCTCTTTGTGCTAATATTACATCCCAAGGTGTCCCAGGTGCTGTGCTAAGCAATATATATGCATATATATGTATATATATTCTGATGTTTAATCATTCTGTGACACTAAAAGGTAGATATTTTATATTTATTTTATTTATTTATTTTCAACTTTTAGGGTCAGGGGATACACATGCAGGTTTGTTACATAGGTAAGTTGCATGTCATCTCGTGAAGACTGGTGTAGGAATGATCCTGTGACTCAGGTGGTGAGCATAGTACCCTGTAAGTTAGTTTTTCAGCCCTCACCTTGCTCCCACCCTTACCCCAGTAGTAGTCCTCAGTGTCTATTTTTCCCATCTTTGTGTCTGTGTGTACTCACTTAAAAGTGAGAGCATGTAGTATTTGGTTTATTGTTCCTATATCAATTCACTTAGGTTAATGGCCTCCAGCTACATCCATGTTACTGCAAAGGGCATAATCTCATTTTTAATGGGTGCATAGTATTCCATGATGTATATGTACCACATTTTCTTTATATAGTCCACTGTTGATGGGCATCTAGGTTGATTCCCTGTATTTACTATTGTGAATAGTGCTGTGATGAACATATATGTGCATGTATAACAGTTTATTTTCCTGTGGGTATACACCCAGTGATGGAATTGCTGGGTCAAGTGGTAGCTCTGTTTTAAACTCTTTTGAGAAATTCCCAAACTGCTTTCCATGGTGGCTGAACTAATTTGCATTCCTACCAATAGACTATAAGCATTCCCTTTTCTCTACAACCTCACGAACATCTGTAATTTTTTGAGTTTTTAACAATAGCCATTCTGACTGTTCTAAGAGAGTATCTCATTGTGATTTTGATCTGTATTTCTCTAATGGTTAGTGATGTTGAACATTATCTTCATGTTTGTTGGCCACATGTATGTCTTCTTTGAGAAGTGTGTTCATGTCCTTTGCCCATTATTTTAATGGGGATATTTGTTTTTTGCTTGTTCAATTGTTTAAATTCCTTATGGATTCTGGATATTAGACCTTCATCAGATACATAGTTTGCAAATGTTTTCTCTCATTCTGTAGTTTGTCTGTTTACTCTTTCTTTTGCTATGCCAAAGCTCTTTGGTTTGATTAGGTCCCACTTCTCAATTTTTGTTTTTGTTTCAATTGTTTCTGGGACTGAGTCATAAATTCCACCTCTTTCCACCTCTGCAAGCTAATAATTTTAAAAACTTATTATTCTTATTTTTTTTTGTAGAGACAGTGTTTTACTATGTTTCCCAGGCTGGTCCCAAACTCTTAGGTTCAAGAGATCCTCCTGCCTCAGCCTCCCAAAGTGCTGGAATTACAGATGTGAGCCACCATGCCTGGCCTGGATCTTGCTTCTTTATCCAACTTGCAACTCTATGTCTTTTAATTAGGGTGTTTAGCCCATTTACATTCAAGGTTAATATTGACATGCGAGGATTTGATCCTATCATTGTGTTGTTAGCTTGATTAGACTTTATTGTGTAGTTTCTTTATAGTGTCAGTGGGCTGTGTACTTAGGGGAATGTTAAACATGGAAGCAAAAGAAACATGCCACCACAAAAACACACTTAAGAACCTCTTATACAGCAGGTCTAGCACTAGTAAATTCCCTTAGAGTTTGGTTGTCTGAAATGGATTTTATTTCTCCTTTTCTTAAGAAGCTTAGTTTAGCAGAATATTAAGATTCTTGGTTGGTCTTACTTCTCCTTAAGGATGCTGAAAATAAGGCCTTGGTCTCTTTTAGCTTGTAAGGTTTCTGCTGAGAGGTATGCTGTAAGCCCAATGGGGTTCCCTTTGTAGGTGGTCTATGACTTCTATCTAGGTGACTTTAAGATGTTTTTCTTTCATGTTGATCTTGGAGAATCTGATGACTGTGTGTCTTGGGGATGGTTATCTTGTATAGTATCTCACAGGGGTTTACTGAGTTTGTTGAATTTGCCTGTTAACCTCTCTAGTGAAATTGGGGAAATTTTCATGGACTGTATCCTCAAATACGTTTTCCAAGTTTCTTACTCTCTCTCCTGTTTCCTTCCCTTTCAGGAACGTCAATGAGTCATAGGTTTGGTCTCTTTACATAATCTTGTATTTCTCAGAGGTTTTGTTAGTTTTTTAAAGTTCTTTTTTCTTTATTTTTGTCTGCCTGCATTGATTTGAGGAGTTGTCTTCAAACTCTGAGATTCTTTCCTCAGCTTGGTCAATTCCATTGTTAGTGCTTCCATCTGTGTTATGAAATTCTTGTCGTGAATTTTTCAGTTCCACAAGTTCAGTTTTGTTCTTTCTAAAAATGGCTATGTTGTCTTTCAATTCTGGGATCATTTTACTCTTTTTCATGGGTTGGGTTTCAACTTCCTCCTGTATCTCATTGAGCTTCCTTGCCATCCTGATTCTGAATTCTATGTTTGTCATTTCAGCCATTTCTATCTTGTTTGGAACCATTGCTGGAGAGTTAGTGTGATCATTTGAGGGTAAGGTGACACTCTGGATTTTAGAGTTGCCAGAGTTCTTACACTGGTTCTTTCTAATCTGTGAAAGCTGATATTTCTTTATCCTTTGAAGTTGCTGTCCTTTGGATGAGGCTTTCTGTTTTTATGTTCTTTATTTCCTTGAGGGTTTGACTATGGTGTAATTTGGATGTAGCTGATTGTCTTCATTTCTGGATGCTTTCAGAGGACCAAGGCTCAGCTTGGCACTCCTGGGCTGTGTGATCTAACTCTGGGGGGCTGGGACTAGGCACATGGGTTTGTCCTCTGGATCCCCACAGAGGTCAAGGACAAGCTGCATTGGAGGGGTCAAGGTGCTCCCAGGCTGCTGGCAAAATTGCTATGTCAGGGGCTGCTGACAAAAGCACTCCTGTGGGGGCGCAGGAATCTCTTGTTAAAGCACTTCAGTGGGGTGATGGGGCATCCATTGAAAGCACTCTGCTAGGGCAGCAGGGATGCTAGCACAAGTACTCCTATGAGGGGCCATCATCAAAAACACTCTGGTGGGGCACTGGGGGCCCCCTGCAAAAGCACTCTGGCTGGGCAGTGGGATCCTATTGCAAAAGCTCTCTGGTGTAGTAACACAAGTACCAGCGAAAGCACTCCAATGGGGGGCCATCAGCAAAAGCACTCCAGTGGATTTCCTTCATGCCATAAATGGGGAAATTGAGGTACAAAGAAGTTAGTTATTTTGGCCAAGCTTTTATGGCTAGTATAATCAGAGCTTGCATTAAAACCAAGGTTTGTCTGACTCTAAATTCTATTCTGGGAAGCATTAGGTAAAACATTACAGGAAAAACTTTTCTCTTTGAACCCTCAGGAAAACACAAAGATATGTGTGTGCACACAGGAAAGACTATATGAGGACACAGAGAGAAGGTGCCCATCTGCAAGCCAAGGAGAGAGGCCCCAGAGGAAACCAAGCCTGTTAATACCTTGATCCTTGCCTTCTAGCCTCCAGTACTAAGAAAAAATAAGTGTCTATGTACTTAAGTCTGTGGTATTTTGCTATGACAGACCTAAGAGAAGAAAATACTCATAAAGTGACTTTTTGTGTCCTCCTAATATCACTGTGATATCAGACACTTACACAATTCTATCCTCTGTCCTGGAAAAGGGAAATCATCATCTCCCTCGTATTGACATATATTCATGTAAAAGACTATGAGTTATTTTGAAATAAGATTAGATACCAGTTGGCAATTAAGCTAGATTTTTTTGTGTGCTTGTGTGTGTATGTAAAGAAAAAGCCAGTATTGAGCCAAAGGACTTTCTTCAGGTATGGTATGTTCCTGAATAAATAGGCAAATAATTTGCAATTCACAGGAGAAGAAATGAGTCTAGGAAGACTAATGAACCTAGAGTTGGATGAAAAAGCTTCAAGTTCTTTAAACTGAAATTGCTTTTAGGGAGGTGAGATTCTCTTATAGCATTAATATAAACCACTTCAGGACTAAGAAATAGGCAAATTATTGTTTGTTTGCTTATGAGCCATAAAAATAAGAGTAAAGCCAACATGTAATTTTTCTTTACATTGTTAAGAGTGCAGTTTTTCTCTCTATTCATTATACTTTTGGCAAACATTGCTGTTTGCCTTCCCAACTCCATAAATCATTTTTTCCGTAACAATAACAAAATTTATCTACCCAACTCCATAAACTACTTTTTCTCCACTAACAGCAAGAAAATTGGGATACTTTTGTTCCCAGTTAAAAATACTCAACCTTTTATACTCCATTGGTGCTAAAGTTGGCTCTATTATCCTGTTCTGGTAAATGTCACATAACTAGAAATATACTAGCTAGGATTTCGAAGAAATCCATTGTTTCCCTGACTATTTTAAAGTGAAAAACTCAAATAGAATGTATCTTTTGCTTTTCTAACTTCCACCTTTTTCTGCCTGGAACAATGATGATATACCTGAAGATACAGCTGCCATCTTGCAATCATGAGGAGAAATTTGCATATAAAGAAGTCTAAAGCAGAAAGTTAGAAGGAGCTTCAGTTTTTGTTTCTTTTAACACCTGCACCAACTCTTGGCTTACCTCTAGCTGTCTTGTTATGTATAAAATTAATTCCCTGATTAATTCACTGTAATAGATTATTCTCCCACATTTGCCAAACATATTTCTAGTCAATATGTGGACTATTTCCCCCTTTGTTTTTGAAAGAACATCCTGTTGAAACACTTCAATATTAGAGTGCTGGAGCGACATGGAGATACACTGTTTTGGATTCTCAGATGTACTGTTGTTTCAAATAAAAGTCAATTTTTTTTTTTGTAGATTTCTTACTGGAGGACAAATAATGGTCTAAAAGATATGAATACTTTAGCACACTTTATTGTGAAAATTCATGTATATTCCAATGATTGAAAACATTAAAAAATAACCACTGGTTTTATTATATTGGTTTGACTTGCAAATACACATTGCTTCTTTTTAAATTTCAACATGCCACACCCTCTTCCTCCAGGTTTCCTCTATTGCTCATGTCCTCATGTTCCTAGATTAAGAGAACAAATTGTTTTATTGTGATGGGCAGACACAAAGGGAGTACTTAGCATTTTAGAAAAATTCCATGTAAATTAAACAGGGAAGTATAGTTTGAACAGAACATACAGGCTATATTTTAGACACCTGGTTTAATTATGACAATTTTTTTTATTTTCTTAAGGTTCACCTTGAATCACTTTGGGCCTTACCTTTAGAAGTGGTGTTTATTTTCATGGTCAGATTATAGAAAATATCTGAAGGTGATTGTGCATTAATGGAAGTTCCTTCTGGTATGGCATCTAGGTTTTATCAGTGTAACTCAGTAAATACTAAAGCAGAGATATATTCAGCTCTTGAGTCACTTGATTTAGAATCTTCCATTCATGCACATGTAAATATATGAACATGTGTGCACGTATGCATACACACTGAGGACATACAATCTATCAGTTCTGTGTTTGCATGCAGACATTTGGAAGAGGTTAGGCACTGGAGAAAGAATAATGGTATTCCAATATATTTTATATTGTATTCATATAAAAGAACTTAAAGGGCTTCATAAGTCTGCATTAGTGAAAGATAGTGGAGGTTAAGTTTCTTCACAATTGTGTATAATTTTATGTTATCTCTGCTGAGTAATGTATTTATGTGAGCATACTTGAATATTGTTATGTCTGATGTTTTCCAGTGAAAGGAAATCCTTGCAATAAACCCGAGTCACAGGAAGAACTAGGGCTACATTCCATTTTCCATTCTGGTTTTTTGGCTTGGGTCTTCCCAAACATGGAAATAAACAGCTTATCTGAACTAAAACACTGACCTTTCTTGGAGCAAGTTTTGTGATTAAATATTAGTTTTATACAAGTTCCTTTCTGAAAAACATAGACATTTATATAGAACCAAGAGTAGATTGATAATGGTAAGGCACAAAAATGTTATGTGTTTTAAAGTTAGTACTTTGATTTTCCATGGATAAACCTTTACGAAGTTAAATATTTCAGGTCATCCTTAGCCGTAAGTGTAAAGTTGTAAAATGTTATTTCTAGCATCTTCCTACTTATCCTGTTTATTTTCTTTTTCTCTTCTGGGTTTTCACCTCCTCTTCTCTTTCTCCCCACTATCACCACCAAAATACCCTTGCCCTCCTCCCCTCTGGAGGCCACATGATATGTGTAATGACTGCAGAATGGCCTTGTAATTATGCCCTCTATCTGAGGTCCTTATCTTAGACTGATTTATTTAGATGAGTCACACGATTTCACTGATGCGCTTTCCTAACATGCAAGCTGGGGTAAATAACAGTGACTTTGCAAAGTTGTGAGTTTTCCCAAAGATTCTCATAAAATGCCTGCCACATGGTAACTCTGACTCAAGATTATTATTATCCAGGCAGTCTCACCCAAACTACATTCATACCTCAAAATTATTCTGTGCCTTCCCTAATCAGCAGTTCCATTTCCACTGTGACTTCACATCAGAAAACTAAGTGAGGAAAGGATTAGACGAACTAATTTAAATATGAATTACTTACAACAATGTGTAGCCAGATTAATGAATGATGTGAATTTGATGAGACACAGATATGAAGTTGTTTCTCTTTTTCTTTTAAAAGTCATTTCCTTCAACTGTTCTGTAGAATTTTCATTTCTATCCCTTAGTGACATTCTAAAGGAAATCCCATTCTTTCTCATCACTCTCAGCTATTTGACATCAACCTAGCTAGCTTATATCCAATTTAAATCTTTCTCTTCCTTCCATCAGCAACAAGATTTTGGCTCATAAGACTTGGAATTGAAAAGTATCAAGATCTGTTGCAGAAACTCTTCCCCATCCTCCCTTTCCTGAAGCTCTTTTTCTCCTGGTGGGTTAAGAACAGAGAAGTGAGAAGCAAAGAAAAGTTCAGTCAAATGACTCATTTAATTGGGGTTGTTCTTTTCCTGTCTTGACTTTGACAGTTTCCCTGGTGATGACCTCTGAGTGAAAACCAAATGCTGATTCTCTTGTGGGGTGCATGTGTGAATTCTTTAGGAGACCCTGCAGAGGCCTCCCAACTATACAGTTCTGTGCCACAGAAGATCTGCTCTGCCTTGAACTCTTCTGCCCAATGAATCCCTAGGGATAGAATTTCAGATGGTAAGGCAGCTGTCCAAGGTGATTTAGGGTGGGGGCTTGGACAACTTTTGCTATCGTATCCCAAATTATAGCACTTGGGTAGGCAGTGTCTAATGTATGTATCCATTTCTGAATCCATTCTTGCCTCAGAGGATTGTGTTTGCACTGTCTTTATTTGTCTTTACTTACTTCAAAGAGTGTTGTGGCAGAGGCAGGCACAGCATTTGAAAAGTGAAGGAATTAAAATGACTCTAACAATGATGAGGGAAACTGGCAGAGTTTGGAACCAACAAAAGCTAAATCTCAGGGACTAAGTACTCTTAGAATTTCTAATTGCATCTGCTCTGAAAATGTGAAATCCCCTATGAAGAAGGAGAGTTTACCTCTTGGAGACTTAAAGATGTAGTCAGATTTGTGCTACTGAGAAGGTAGTGTTCACGTTTAACATCTGTGCTGTCCAAAATGCCCCAGCCTCTTACATTCCAGTCGTGTGGCTGAGCAAGGTTACCAGTGAGGCTCCAACTGAAATTATTATCACCCTTACAACAAATTATAAGCAAATACTCATTATGAGAAAGCTGTTAAGAGAAAGCATAATTTTACCACAATGTAGATCTCAAAGTTTAGGTCATTCCACTTACTTGTTTAGCTTTTAACAAGAAATTAAAGTTCCAGTTTCTTTCGTACAGTGTATAAAACCTTATATTTAAAAAATAAGAGCCAATATACCTTACTTAGAAAGGGGGTTACATCTTTACTATGGCAAGGGCAAGATGAAATACTCTTCCTCTCAGTAGCTACTAAAACAAGATATTTTTATATATTTATTTTTCTCTCTGTGTACCCACAGTGTAGTGAAATGCCAACACTCTCCTTAAGTCATTTTTACAACCTTCAGTATGAGCAGCTCCATTGAAAATTATCTATAAAAGTGCAATTAGAATTTGTGATCTCCCTCTGGGTCACTAAAACTTAGATTTAGATTGTCTAGGGGATGGCAACAAGTTGGCAGAATAGGGCTTTCCAGTGCCCATCCCCCAACGGAAACATCAATTTGAACCATTTTCCACACAAGAGAATACCTTCCCAAGAGCTAAGGAAACCGGGTGAGACATTACAGCACCTTAGTGTAGCACAGAAATAAGAAAAGACACATTGAAGAGGGCAGGAAGGACAGATTCACATGATCCAACTATCCCTCCCCAAACCCTAGGCAGCACAGCGTGGAGAGAGAAACCCACACTTGGAGGAAGGAGAGAGAAGTGTGCACTGGATTTTGCCTTAAATATAACACCAGACCTGCCACAGTAAAACCCAGAACTGGGCAGGTGTCTATGGCCTCAGACCCCAGGCTGACACACTTGGACTGGGCCTGCAGGCCCACCTCACCACCAGGCTAACCTAATTGGCCTCAGAGTTTGAGGCTGCCCCCAAGACTCACTCAATCTCTTTGAGCTGGCCCTGGAAGTCATGGGCTCTGGACTGCCCTAGCAGCAGGTTGGCCTCTGTAGCTGCAGGCTCAGGACCATCCCAGCACTAGGCCAGCACTCAAAGCCCTAGTCATCAGGCCAGCTGCAGTGGGCCCAGCCTCCAGGCCAGCCCCTGCAGATATTGGCTCCAGAACTAACCCCAAGCTCAGAACAGCCCAGAGACAGGTTGGCCCACAGAGTCCCAGGCTTCAGGCCTGCTTTAGTGCTGAGTCAGCACCCCTAGTCTCAGGTACCAGGCTGACACCCAAGGACACAGGCTCCAGTCCTGCCCAGTCCCAGGCCAGATCCTGCAATACCACCCTGCAGGCTGGACCCTGTGGCCATGCACTCCACTAGGCTGAGGGTCCAGGCCTACTTTACAAGACCCAGGGTACAAGCTCATACCAGTTAACCCCAGCACTGAGCCAGACCTCATAGACACAGGTCCAGGACTGCCCCTGTGGACCCAGATTTATGTCCACTTCCCACAGCTCTAGGCCCCAGCTCAGTCTCTATGGCTCCAGGCTTCAGGCCAGCAACTGCAATCTCAGGCTCCAGACCAACCAACCCCCACAGATTCAGGCTCTATGCTTGCCCCAGTATAAGGCCAAGCCCTAGCTACAGTGAACCTAGGGTCCAGGCCCACCTGAACAGACCTGGGTGTGAGGCTGGCCCTCAAAGATTGAGGCTCCAGGATGACTCCTGCAGACCCAGGCTCCAGACAGCCCCCATGGACTCAGGGTCTAGGCTTGTCCCCATGGACTCAAGCTACATGTCCATTCTGGTGGACCCAAGTGCTGGGACTATTCTGGTGCCTCTAGATTTAGGCTCAAGGCTCACCCATGTGCCAAGTCAGCCCCTATGGATCAAGGCTTTGGGTTGGTCCCTAGGGATACAAGCTCTAGGCCTGCCCTCATAGGCCTAATCAACAAGTCTGTCCCAGTGGATTCAGGTTCCAGACTCAACCCCAAGGACCCAGACACCAGACCTACCCCCACCTGATAACCCACAATCTAGACCAGCCTGCTCAAGAGCTTCAAAAATAAACCTGCCCACAGGCCACACCAGACAGTCTATCCAGAATCTCTGGATGGACTGACTGGTTTTTAAGGGCTTTCCTAGAAAAAGCTAGTATGCAAAAACTAGGATAAATTTCTGCTTCTACAAATGTGCCACAGACAAAAATACAAGTCAACAAGCAACATGAAAAACGAAGTAGACATAGTACCACCAAAATAACGCAAAAAAGACCCCATAGAAATGTAGATATACAAACTGCAACACAAAGAATTCACAATAATTGTTTTAAGGAAGCTTAGCAAGCTTCAAGAAAATACAGAGGGACAATTTAATGAAAGCAGGAAAACAATAAATGAACAAAACTAGAAATTTAATAGAGAGATGGAAATTATTTAAGAAAATCAAACAAATTCTGAAGCTGAAAAATGCAATGAATGAAATGGGAAAATTCAATAGAGATTATCAGCAGCAGAACTGATCATGCAGGAGAAAGAATCTGTGATTGTGAAGATAGGTTATTTGAAAATATGCACTGAAAAGAAAAAGAAAAAATAAATAGGAATGAAGAAAGCTTACAAGACTTATTGGACAGTATCAAAAGAGCAAATGTTTGGGTCATTAACATTCAAGAAGGAAGACAGAGACAAAGCTGGTAGAAAGTTTATTTAAAGAAATAATACCAGAAAAAATTCCAAATGCAGAAAAATATAAATACCTAAATATAGGAAGGTCAAATTTCTTCAGTTAGATTCAGTCCAAACAAGACTATATCAGGACATATTACAATCAAATTGAGAAAATTCAATGGCAAAACGTATCTTAAAAGCAGCAAGAGAAAAGAAGCAAATCACATATAAGGTAGTTCCAATATGGTGTGGCAAATTTCTTAGCAGAAATCCTGCAAGCCAGGAAAGAGCAAAATGATATATTCAAAGTGCTGAAGGAGAAAAATTGCCAAGCAAAAATATTCTACCTGGCAAAGCTATCCTTCAGAAATGAAGAAGAGATCAAGACTTCTCCAGGCAAACAAAAACTGAGGGAGTTTATCACCACCAGAACTGTCTTACAAGAAATGTTAAAGGAAGACCTGAAGAAGCAAAAAGACAAGGATGCTAATTGGTATATGAAAGCATGAAACTCACTGTTAAAAGTAAATACACAAATTCAGAATACTCTCATGCTATAATAATTGTTAAATTACTTATATCTTTAGTATAAAAGTTAAAAGAAAAAACTTTTTAAAAAAGCAATAAAAACAATAACTTATTAAGGGATACACAATATAAAAATACATATTGTAAAATCAAAAATATAAAATGTAGGGTGGGGGCTAAAGTAAAAGTGTAGATTTTTAAATGCAATCAAAGTTAAATTATGATCAGCTTAAAATTGCCAGTTATAATTACAAGATGTTTTATGTAAGCCTCACAGTAACCATGAAGCAAAACCTAATAATTGATATGTGAAAGATAAAAAGGAATCAAAGCATACCACTACCGAAAATCACCTAATCACAAAGTAAGACAACAGGAGAGGAAGATGAGAACAAAGTATCTGCAAAACAACCAGAAAACAATTTTTTAAATGGCAATAGTAAGTCCTAGCAATAATTAAATTAACCAATCAAAGATACAGAGTACCTGACCAGATTAAAAAAATAAGATCTAACAGTATGCGCTCTATAAGAGACTCACTTCACCTTTAAGGGAACACATAGACTCGAAGTGATGGAAAAAGATGTTTCATGCAAATGGAAACCAAAAGAGAGTAGGGGAAGCTATACTTATATCAGACAAAATAGACTTTAAGTCTAAAGCTGTAAAAAGAGACAAAGAAAGTCATTATATATTAATAAAGGAATCAATTTATCAATAGGACAAAATAATTGTAAATATATATGCACCCAACATTAAGTCGCCCAAATATGTAAAGCAAATATAAATAGATTGGAAGGAAAGACTAACTGTAACACAATAATTAGCAGGAGACTTTAACGTATAAGTTTCAGCGATGGACAGATCGTTCGAACAAAAAATCAATAAGGAAACGTTGAACTTAAACTAAACTTTAGACCAAATAAACCTAACACATATACATAACATTCCATCCAACAGAAGTATAATATGCATTCTGCTCAAGTCCATATGAAACATTCTCCAGGATATATTATATGTTAGGTCACAAAACAATCCTTAAGAAATTTAAGAAGATTGAAATGGTATCAAGTATCTTTTCTGACCACAATGGTATGAAATTACAAGTGAGTAACAGGAAGAATTTCAGAAAATTAAAAGATACAGTAGTCCTCCATTATCTGTGGGACACATTCCACAATCACCAGTGGATACCTGAAGCTGCAGATTTCCAAAATGCCAGTGACTCAAACTTTTGGTCTGTTGATGCTGTCTCATAATTCCTGTAAGCTTTCTTCATTTTTAAAAATGGTTTTCTTTTTCCTCTTCTCACTGTATATTTTCAAATAACTCATCTTCAATTTTGCAGATTCTTTCTTTTGCTTGACTAATTCTGCTGCTGATAGTCTCTGTTTCACTTTTCACTTTGTTCATTGTATTTTTCAGCTCCAGAACCTTATATATACTATGTTTTTTTCTGTGCATACATACATATGATAAAAGTTAATTTATAAGTTAGGCACAATAAGAGATGAACAAAAATATAATAAAATAGAACAATTTTAACAATATATTATAATAAAAGTTATATGAATGTCGTCTCTTTCTCTCTCTCAAAATATCTCAATATTTTCATACCTATATTGACCATGGCAAACTGAAACTTGAATAAGGCCTGATTACTATACTTGGAAATTTACAAATATGCTTCTGAACAAACAATGAGTTAAGAAGAAATTAAAAGTATCTTGAGACAAATAAATATAGATAAATAACATATCAAAACTTACGGGATGTAACAAAAGCAATTCTAAGATTAGAAGTTTATAGCAGTGAACACCTAAGGCAAAAAAGAAGAAAGACCTCAAAAAAAAAAAAAAAAAGGAACTCGAAGAATAAGGATAAGCTAAGCTGAAAGTTAGTAGATGGAAGGGAATAATTATCAGAGCAGAAATAACTGAAATAGAGCATAAAAGAATAGGAAGGATTAATGAAACTAAGAGTTGGTTTTTTGAAAAGAGAAATAAAATTGACAAAACTTTAGCAAACTAAATTAAAGAAGAGAGAAGACAAATATCAGAAATGAAAGAAAGACATTACAGCTGATACCACACAAATGCAAAGAATCATAACAGACTACTATGAATAATTATATACCAACATATTGGATAACTTAGAAGAAATGGATAAATTCTTAGACACATACAACCTACCAAGACTAAATCATGAAGACCTAGAAAACCTGAACAAAACAATAATAAATAAGGAGATTGAATTACTATTAAAAAGTCTCTAATAAAAGAAAAGTGTAGGACCTGGTGGCTTTACCACTGATTTTTTTTTTAAGTGAAAGCAAGTTTATTAGGAACGTAAAGGAATAAAGAATGACTACTCCATAAGCAGAGCAGCCTTTACCACTGAATTCTATCAAACATTTAAAGAAAAACTAATACCAATCCTACTGAAACTCTTTCCCAAAAATGGAGAAAACAGAATACTTCCAAACTCATTTTATGAGACCAGCATTACCCTGATACCAAAGCCAGACAAGGAAATGAAATTTCAGGCCAATATTCCTGAAGAACATCGATGCAAAAATTCTCAACGAATACTAGCAACCCAAATTCAATAGCACATTAAAAGAATAATTTACTGTGATCAAATGGAATTCATCACAGGGATATAAGAATGGTTCAACATTTGCATATCTATAAATGTGACTCACCACATTAGCAGAATGAAGGACTGAACCATGTGATCATCTCAATAGATGCAGAGAAAGCATTTGACAAAATTCAACATCCTTTCATAAGAAAAAATTCTCAACAAATTAGGTATAAAAGGAATGTATCTCAACACAACAAAGGTCATATTTGACAAACCCACAGGTCAATATCACACTGGTGAAAAGTTGAAAGCTTTTTCTCTAAGATCAGAAGAAAGAAAATGATGCCCACTCATCGCCCTTTCTATTGAACATAGTACTGGATGTCCGAGTCAGAGCAATTAGCCAAGAGAAAGAAATGAAGCATATCTAATTGGAAAGAAAGAAGATATTTTGTCCTTGTTTGCAGACAACATTATTTTATATATATGCGACCTTAAAGACCCTACCAAAAAAAACTGTTAAAACTAATACACAAGCTCAGTAAAGGGATTTGCAGGATACAAAATCAACATATGAAAATCAGTTGCATTTCTACACATTAACAACAAACAATCTGAAAAAAGAAATCAAGACAACAATTTCATTTACAATAGCTCCAAAAACTTTAGAAATAAATTTAACCAAGGAGATGAAAGTCCTGTATACTGAAAACTATAAAATATTGATGAAAGAAATTGAAAAAATCACAAACAAATGGAAAGATAATTCCATTTTGTTAATGGATTAGAAGAATTAATATTGTCAAACTGTTCATACTACGCAATGCAAGCTACAGATTCAATACAATCTCTATCAAAATTCCAGTAACATTTTTCACAGAAATAGAAAAACAATTCTAAAATTCATATGGAACTACAAATCACCCTGAATAGCCAAAGCAATCTTTAGCAAAAACAACAAAGCTGGAGACATCACACTACCTGACCTCAAAATACTGTACAAAGCTATTGTAATGAAAACAGCATAGAACTGGCATAAAAATACATACATACAACAGTGGAACAGAATAGAGTCCAGAAATCCACACATTTACAGTCAACTGGTTTTTGACAAAGGTGCCAAGAACACACAATGGGGAAAGGACAGTCTCTTCAATAAGTAGTATTAGGGCAACTAGACATCCATATGCAGAAGAATGAAATTATACCCTTGTCTCATATGATATACAAAAGTCAACCCAAAATGGATTAAAGACATAAACATAAGATCTGAAAATGCAAGACTACCAGAAGAAAACATAGGGAAAAACTCCATTACATTAGTCTCGCCAATGAGTTTTTGGATTTGACCCCAAAAGTGCAGGCAACAAAAGCACAAATAAACAAAAGAGATTGTATCAAACTAAAGGCTTTTGCACAGCAAAAGAAACAGCAGAGTGAACAGACAACCTATGGAATGAGGAAGTATTTGCAAACCAGACATCTCACAAAGGATTAATATCCAAAATGTAAAAAATTCAAACAACTCAATATCAAGAAAACAAATAACCCAATTAAAAGAGGGACACAGAACTTGAATAGAGATTTCTCAAAAGGAGACACACAGGCTGGGCGCAGTGTCTCACGCCTGTAATCCCAGCACTTTGGGAGACCGGGGAGGGTGGATCACGGGGTCAGGAGTTCGAGACCAGCCTGACCAACATGGTGAAACCCCGTCTCTACTAAAAATACAAAAATTATCTGGGTGTAGTGGCACGCGCCTGTAATCCCAGCTACTTAGGAGGCTGAGGCAGGAGAATCGCTTGAATCTGGGAGGCAGAGATTGCAGTGAGCCGAGATCACACCACTGCATTCCAGAGACATACAAAGGAGACATACAAATGGCCAATATGTATAGGAAAAATGCTCAATATCACTAATCATCGGGGAAATGCAGATTCAAACCAGAATGAGATATCACCTCACACTTCTTATAATGGCATTTATCAAAAATCATGAAAGATAACAAGTGTTCGTGAGGATTTAGAGAAAAGGGAACTCCTGTACTCTGTTGGCGGGAATGTACTAACTTAGACTACTTACATGTACTTATATGTGAGTTAGTACATTCCCCCCAACAGTGTACAGGTGTTATGGAAAACATTATGGACATTCCTCAAAAAATTTAAAATGAAACTACAATATCATCCAGCATTCCCACTACTGAGTATATATCCAAAAGAAATGAAATTGGTATGTCAAAAAGATACCTGTAGTCCCATGTTCATTGAAGCACTATTTACAATAGCCAAGAGGTGGAAACAACCTAAGTGTCCATCAGCAGCTGAACAGATAAAATGTCATGTACATGCATAACTGAATACTATTCAGCCTTAAAAGAAAAGGAAATCTTGTCATTTGCAACAATATGGATGAACCAGAGGACATCATATTAGGTGAAATAAGCCAGACACGGAAAGACAAATAACTATATGATCTCACTTACATATGGAATCTAAAAAAGTTGAACTCATACAAGTAGAAAGTAGAATGATGGTTACCAGTGGCTGGAAAGGGTGGGGAGTTAGGGAAATGTTGCCAAAGGATCCAAAATTTCAATTAGGAAGAATAAGTTCAAGAGTCCTATTTTTACAACATGGTTAACTACAGTTAATGACAATGCATTGTATTCTTGAAAAGTCACCGAGAGAGTAGATTTAATTATTCTTATTACCAAAAAAGGTATATGATATAATGCGTATGTTAAGTAGCTTTATTAACCATTCCATAATGTAAATGTATTTCGAATCATGTTGTATATAATAAATATATACATTTTTGTCTTTTATTTTTTTGAGACAGGGTCTCACTCTGTCACCCAGGCTGGAGTGCAGTGGCACGATCTCGGCTCACTGCAACTTCTGCCTCCCAGGTTCAAGCGATTCTCCCACCTTAGCCTCCCAAGTAGCTGGGACTACAGGTGTGCGCCACCACACCCTGATAATTTTTGTATTTTTAGGAGAGATGGGATTTCACTGTGTTGGCCAGGGTGGTCTGAAGCTCCTGACTTCAAGTGATCCATCTGCCTTGGCCTCCCAAAGTGCTGAGATCACAGGCATGAGCCATAATTAATTTAAATATATAAATCAATAAAACTGCTATATTTAGGGTCATTTAGCTGTTTATGGGATAATCACATTTTAACTTGAAAGAATCTCACTTTGGACAACAGAGTTTTACTTTGTGTCCGAAAGCTTTCTTTTTCCTTTCTCTTTTTGTTTCCTGCTTAAACTGGCAAATTGCACTATGTTTATAATTTACCCTGATGCCCTTTGCCCTTCATGTGATTCATTTCCATCTGGCATTCTTTTCTAATTTCTTTCTTGAGAGTTATGAATTATTTTCTAGCTGTTTCTAATAACTGCCTTTAAATGGACATAAGCCACTGCCTAGATGTGTACCTGCTTCTAATAAACAAGTGAGTCAGGGCTCATTGTGCAAATGAACACAGCAGCATCTGGCCCATCACACAAACATTCCATTTCTCTCACAGGTTCATTATTTCTCTTTTGTCCATATTTAGTTAGTAAAGCCATATATTCAAAATGTAATTTTGACTTTTTGTCTATAGTAACAAAATATAAGAATAGAACTTTGTACAAACTATGCAGTCTACAGAAGGTAAAAATATATATTTTGATAAAAGTTTCAAAACCAAAATAAGTCCATACAAGGTCTGAAATCAGAGTGCATATTTCCAATAATAAAATAGATTTTTAAAAAATTTATGGAAGCTTGTGTTAACTCCAAAATGGATAATTGAGGGATTGAATCTTAAGAGTGCTTTTTAAAAGTACTTGAAAGGGTGGAAAAGGATTCCCTAGGAATATTATATAATTTTCAAATATAAAAATATAAAATTTAATTTCAACATAGAAATAGAACAGCATCTCAACAAAAAGAAAACAAATCTTTATCAAATTCAGTAGAGGTGTATTGAATACACATTTTGCTGAATGCTGAAAATGTTAAAGTCGACAGTTGGTCAACATGGATGTCATGTTATAGAAACAACATGTAAAAACAAAAATCTGAACTGTTATTAAATAAAGTTTAATTGTTCAACTTTTGTTATAATTTTAGAAATTGCATTTTAAAACTTGACATTATAGCACAGAAACATTTTTTTCAGCATTAACACCTGATAGCTTGCTCCTATGGTAATTATATTATACATTAGTGAGACTATAAATAGGCATTCATTTTCCACTGAGGCTAGAGGAGGAGCAACTTCTTTGGTCTAGCTCCTGCAGCCTAGGGTACAGATGATGTAGCAATATAACCATTATTCAACTTTCCCTACCTCTGTAATTCTAACTGACTCAGTTCCCCTCTTCTTGAGCTCCTGAGCGGGATGGTGATGATAAAATGATGCCAATGATGCAGCCTCACAAACTCTCTGTCTACCTGGAAAAAGATGTTTTCTAAACATTCTTTCGGAATATTTTCAGAAACAGTCTTGTAATTTTGGCTCTTGCTGATATTTTTATATCTACTATTTTCACAGGCATTTGCTGCTCCACTCAATCACTTGGGAAAAATTGTCCTTACTTTGGACTAGAACTTTTGCAATAGAACAATATGCTTGGCTTTTAGAATGACAATATTGTTCCGGAATTTTTAGCTGGCACTCAGATTTCTGTCTGCCTCTCATTGGCAAACATGACATTTCAGCAATTTCTCTAAAGAGGAATGACTGGGGGGTATGTACAGCAGGCATCATGTAAGAAAAACTCACACCTCACGACATATTTGTTTGATTTATTCAGCAGACTTCAGCAAAGGAAAGATGTGAAAGCAACCCTTGATTGTTGGTATGTCTGAAGATATTGGTATTGTGGTGGTATTACCTGCAAAGTATGTAATAAGGCTTGCTTTTATTTGCTCAGTCTTTGGATGTGTATTAGCTTTCATTCTATCTTGGTTGAACATCTTATATAAGTGTAAGATAAGGTAGTTCAAAATATCTTGATAACATGTAGCCTATTTTTGATTAAAGTCCATTTTCATTGCAATTTTACATTTATGATGATTACCAATATTTTAAAGAAAGTATTCAGGTGTTAAAAAGATAATCAAAGATGGATAAGTGAACAAACATTTGATAAAGTAAAGTTGAATATAGATGGTAGAATCTAGGTGGTAGACACATGATACAAAGTTTTAAAAACCTTTCTTCTTTTGGAAATTTACATAATAAAATGTTAGTTAAAATAATAAATCTAAACAACATGCCTTACATTTATACGGTAAGTTAGGATCTCTGGGGAGAGAAACTGAGGTTTGCAAATAGGAGGTTCATAGGGAGTGCTCATATGCAATACTTGTGAGGGATGGGGAAAGCAGGATTAGGCACAGAGAAAAGTTAAACTGTGATGCAGTTGCAAAAGCAGCCTCAGCTGATCCTAAGGGGATCCAGAAGCTGAGATGACTATTTAGAATACCAGTTGAGTCAAGGGGCCAAGGCCTTTGCACCCCGACTTCAAGCAGTTATTGGATGTAATCTGCTCACAAGGGGGAGAATGTAATCTTGGGCAAGGCAGGTTCTTCAGTGAGGGCAACTTACAGAAAAAGACTCAGCAATGAGCCTCAGCACTCATCATTCCTGGCTGCAGGAAGAATGAGTGTCTCAATAATGTACCGCAGTGTCACAGCAACTTATTGATATTTTTAATGTGTTAAAATAACTAGGTAGAAAGGTTACCTACATGATCATGTATCCATTGATCACACATGAGTTCATAGATGCCAGAACTGAACATGTAGCATTTAACTATTCATCTAAAGCTGAAAGGTAACACCAGATTTTGCTAATACCCACGCTGAAACAAAAGTTTAGTACCACCTATACACAATGGCATTTGAAAGATCAATGTTTTTTCAGAAAGTCAAGCTGTAAATTATTTTGAAAAACAAAGCAAATCAGTACATGTTAAAATAACTTTAAGTGGCTTGAGTACTGCCAGTGCCTCTTATAGAAACACGTCTATGTTTACTGTGTAAATCTCTGTTATTTTTTCCACTTATAATTGAGTCACCTCCTTACACAGCTTGGGCCCAGGAGTTTGAGACCACCCTAGACAACATAGTGAAACCCCATCTCTACAAAAAATAAAAATAAAAATAAATTAGCCTGACATGGTGATGCACACCTGTAGTCCCAGTTACTCTGGAGGCAGAGGTGGGAAGATCTCTTAAGCCTGGGAGGTCGAGGCTGCAGTGAGCTGTGACTGCGCCACTGCATTCCAGCATGACTGACAGAGCGAGACTCTGTCTCAAAAAAATATATATACTATTAAATATATTTATTCAGTATGATAACTGCCATTTCTTTTATGCCCACTGTGAATCAGAAATTGATCTTATGCTTTAAATAGATTACATGTATTTTACCCAGGAAATCTGCAAGATTAAGTATTACTATTCGTTGAGACATATAAAAGAGCTCTATGATTTTTCGACTTCTTTTTTCATAATTAAAACACTCTTCGTTGTGAAGCATGAACGGAAGGTGAGAAACTTGGCCATCATTATTAGCTACATATTATATGTGTGGGTAGTGGTCATACCTCATAACTCATCATTATGGCAATTATGTTTGAACTATAGTGGTCACAAAGATGATTTATTTTTCTTTCTTTTTAAAAGAAACTTTTATTTCAGGCTCAGGGGTGCATGTGCAGGTTTGTTATATAGGTAAACTCACGTCATGGGGTTTTTTTGTACAGATTATTTCATCACCCAGGTACCAAGCCTAGTACACAATAGTTACTTTTTTTGATCCTTTCCCTCCTCCCACCCTCCAATCTCAAGTAGGCCTCAGTGTCTGTTGTTCCCCTCTTTATCTTCATGAGTTCTCATCATTTAACTCCCACTTATAAGTGAGAACATGTGGTGTTTGGTTTTCTGTTATGGAGTTAGTTTGCTAAGGATAATGGCCTCTAGCTCCATCCATGTTCCTGCAAAAGACATGATCTCATTCTTTTTATGGCAGCATAGTATTTCATGGTGTATATGTACTACATTTCCTTTATCCAGTCTGTTATTGATGGGCATTTAGGTTGATTCCACATCTTTGCTATTGTGAATGGTGCTACAATGAATATAAGCATGTATATGTCTTTATGGTAGAACAATTTATATTCTTTTAGGTATATATCCATTAATGGGATTGCTGGGTCAAATGGTAGTTCTGTTTTTAGCTCTTTGAGGAATCAACATACAGCTTTCCACAATGGAATTTACATGCCCACCAACAGTGTATAAGTGTTTTCTTTTCTCCATAACCTCTCCAGCATCTGTTATTTTTTTGACTCTTTAGTAATAGCCATTCAGATTAGTGTGAGATGGTATCTCATTGTGGTTTAGATTTGCATTTCTCTAATGATCAGTAATATTGAGCTTATTTTCATATGCTTCTTGGCTGCATGTATGTCTTCTTTTCAAAAGTATCTGTTTATGTCCTTTGCCCACTTTTTAATGGGTTTGTTTGTTTGTTTTTTCCTTGTAAGTGTGTTTAATTTTTTTACAGATGCTGTATATTAGACCTTTGACAGATGCAGAGTTAATAAATATTTTATCTCATTCTGTAGGTTGTCTGTTTACACTGTTGATAGTTTCTTTTGCTGTGCAGAAGCTGTTAAGTTTAATGATACCTCATTTGTCAAGTTTTTGCTTTTGTCACCATTGCTTTTGGCATCTTCGTCATGAAATCTTTGCCTATGCCTATGTCCAGAATGGTATTGCCTAGGTTATGTTCCAGGGTTTTTATAGTTTGGGGTTTTACATTTAAGTTTTTAATCCATTTTGATTCTTTTTTAGTATGGTTAAGAAAATGTAACATGAGATCTACTCTCTTAATACAATTTTGGGTGTACATTACAGTGTTGTTAAGTATAAGCACAATGCTGTATAGCAGATCGCTAGAACCTTTTCATGTCGCATGTGCGAAACTTTATGCCCATTAACCAGCAACTCCACATTTTCTTCTCCCCCTTAATCCCTGACAATCACCATTCTACTCTCTGTGTTTATTTTTAATTATGTGTATGACAACTTTAGATATCTCATGTAAGTGGAATCATGAAGTATTTGTCTTTCTGCAACTGGCTTATTTCACTTAGCATAATCTTTTCAAGTTTCATTCATGTTATAGCATATGGTAGGATGTCTTAGTTTGTTTGAGCTGCTATAACAAAGTACTGTAAACTGAGTAATTTGTAAACAACAGAAATTTATTGTTCACAGTTCTGGAGACTGGGAAGTCCAACCAGCACACCAGTAGACTCAGTGTCCAGTGAGGGCTCACTCTCTGCTACAAAGATGACACCTTCCTAGCTGTGTCTTCACATTTGCATAAGGGGCAAGCAAGCTCACTCAGGCTTCTTTTCTAAAGGCATGAAATCCGTTCATTAGGGTGGATCCCTCAAGACCTAATCATCTCCCAAAGGCCTCACCTCTTAGTACCACCACATTGGAAATTAGGTTTCAACATATGAATTTATGGACAACATAAACATTCAAATGACAGCACAGTATTTTCTTCTTCTTAAAAACTGAAAAATATTCTACTACATTTTATATATATTGTCACTTTTTAACCATGCATTTGTTGATAACTTAGGTTATTCTCACCGCTTGGAAATTATAAACAATGCTGCAATGAACAGGGGAGTGTAGATGTCTCTTTGACATACTGATTTTATATTCTTTGAATATATACCTGAAGTGGAATTGTTCAATCATATGGTAATTCTATTTTTAATTTTTTAAGAAGTCTCCATACTGTTTTTCATAATGGCTGTATGAATTTACATTCCCAGTAACAGTGTACAAGGGTTTTCTTTTCTTCACATCCTTTTCAACACTTGTTTTCTTTCAACTTTTTGATAAAAGCCACCCTAAGAGGTGTGATATCTTACTGTGGTTTTTAATTTGTGTTTTCCTGATGATTTGTGATGCTGAGTATTGTTCCATATACCTGTTTTCTATTTATATGTCTTCTTTTAGAGAAACGTCTATTTAAGTCCTTTGCCCATTTTAAAATCCAGTTATTTGTTTTCTTGCTATTTAATTCTTTGTGTTCTTTATATATTTTAGATATTCATGCTTTATCAGATGTATGGTTTACAAATATTTTTTTCCAATCTGTAGTTTGTCTCTTCACTCTGATAATTGTTTTATAATCATGATAAGGATTTTTTTTTTA
This sequence comes from Homo sapiens, assembly GCF_000001405.40. NCBI lineage: Eukaryota > Metazoa > Chordata > Mammalia > Primates > Hominidae > Homo > Homo sapiens. Next base: position 89,555,965 of record NC_000004.12, read on the forward strand.
CCACAATTTTGTTGTGTTCACTTTAAAGTGGTTCAATGAATCCAGATATTCATTAGATAGCATCATTGCTAGGGGCCTGTACATACAGCATAATGGTATGGCTGTAAGAAAAGTCTCTAGGTGGCCAGGCGCGGTGGCTCATGCCTGTAATCCCAGCACTTTGGGAGGCTGAGGCGGGTGAATCACAAGGTCAGGAGTTCAAGACCAGTCTGGCCAATATAGTAAAACCCTGTCTCTACTAAAAATACAAAAAATTAGCTGGGTGTGGTGGTGTGCACCTGTAATCCCAGCTACTCGGGAAGCTGAGGCAAGAGAATCGCGTGAACCGAGGAGGCGGAGGTTGCAGTGAGCCGAGATTGCACCATTGCATTCCAACCTGGGCAACAGTGCAAGACACTGTCTCAAAAGAAAAAAAAAAAAAAAACGGAGAGAGAGAGAAATCTCTAGGTTAAAGAAAATGGTGGCTTTCCTTCACTCTGCACCAGAGTACATTTTGAGGTGCCATGGAGCTGCAATTGCTAGTTCATGAATCACTGACAGAAAATTAAAAAATGTTGTGGTGATCTGTTTTTGGAAATTTTTTCTGTAATTATAGACAAGCAAAAAAGGAACCTTACTTAACTTTACATGTGGTATCTTGAAGTAGAAAGATTTACTTGTCAAGCAACTGTATTAATATTGTTGCTAACAGCAGAAAAAGGACATATAGAATTTCCTGATGAGATAGTCTACTGGGGCTCCCATTAAACTTAAGACATATTTCTTGAATACAAAAGCAGCCCTGGGCATCATTTAAATCACTTGGAGTGATGCAACTCAGAAGCCAGTGAATTCTGAAAGAGCACAGGTTCTTTCTTCCCTTAGTGATTGAGTCACTTCCTAACAGAACAGTGCAATTAAATGAGCTGATGTTCTGGATGTTACTTATGTCTGGGAATCAGGTTTGGGAAATACGTTCAGGGGCATCACTAATAAACATCACCTACCATACTGTGTGCCATGTAGTCTCTATCAGTACTACTGACATCTTAAATCTGGGATATCACAGTACTGGTGACAGTTTGGAAACAGGAAGCTAAAACTCAAGAGACTAAGTCAGTTGAAATGCTGATAATTGCCACTTGAAATGTAGTCCTGATTTGTTGATAAAAGAAAAATGCCTGAGGCATAGTGGAATTACCTCGGACCTTCTACCATCCTTTGAAAAGAAATCGTGGATACATGTGCATAGTATCTCTTTCAACGTGAAAGTTATTCTTAATCTCAAACTGAGGTAAGAGACATGCTGTTTGAAATGAAGTTAATTCTGAAGCATGAAGATGAGAATTACCTCCTGTAGGGTAATTTGGCCATAATTTGGGACTGTAGAAAAAGATAAGGAGGAGCAGGCAGGAGCTGAGAATAGTTGCTTAAAATAAATGTTCAGATCGAAGCTGGCTGTAAATGGAAGTAAACTCAAAGAACTGAGGATGGCTGGCTTTCAGTGGTCAGATGAAGGAAAAAGGAAAGACTCATCACAGCCTTACCATAATTACAGGCAGAGATTGAAAGTCCAAAAGGTACATAAGTTAGCATAAAGCTACCTGTTACACATCTGAACAGTGATTACAGTAATCAAATTTTGTTTAAGATACCTCAGAGACAAGTAGCAATGGTAGAAATTCTGTAATGGAACCTGCTGATAGTGCTCATCCACAGGGCTGGCCTGATAAATGCTGGGTTCAGTTATGGAGTAATTTCCTTTTTACTGTTGAGGAAATATAATTAAAAACAATATCTTCTCCCAACCCAGAAAACTTCTCCATTAAGGTAGTAAAGAAATAAACAGTTTTATTACTGAATGAGTGTGAAATGAGAATGTGATGCTTATCACAGGCAATCCACCAAAAGCTTGCAAAGAACTAGCAGAACAAAATCTTACCCTTTTATACTGTCACTATGTGTAATCCATCACACACATACATGTTTTCTCGGTAAATATTCAATAGTCTTCAAGTAAGAGGACTAGATAACACCATTTGTCATACATATTTCATCCTAGATTTCATCACATAGATTCATCTAGTAATTGGGGTGACCATCTGTGTAAACTGATTGGCTTTATCCAGAGGAAAAGCAAATTTCTTATATCTTTTTGACAGGAGGTAGATTTGTAACTTGGATCAAGGCACCCATGGAACATAATCTCATATCCTCCCACAGAAACTGGTAGATGGGGGGTTGTATTAGTTCCTTCTCATGCTGCTATGAAGAAATACCTGAGACTGGATAATTATAAAGGAAAGAAGTTTAATTGACTCACAGTTCCACAGAACTGGAAAGAGCTCAGGAAACTTACAATCATGGTGGAAAAGGAAGCAAATACATCCTTCTTCACAAGGTGGCAGGAGAGAGCACTGCTGAGCAAAGGGGGAAAAGCCCTTTTAAAACCATCAAATCTCATGAGAACTCACTCACTATCACAAGAACAGCATAGTGGGGTAATTGCCCTCATGATTCAATTACTTCCCACCGGGTCTCTCCCATGATGTGGGGATTATGGGAACTACAATTCAAGATGAGATTTGGGTGGGACACAGCCAAACCATATGAGGGGTGCTAACTCCCTTTATGTTTACAATCAATTCCTTTTTTTTGGAGGGGACTGAGTCTCACTCTATTGCCCAGGCTGGAGTCAGTGACATGATCCTGCAACCTCTGTCTGCTGGGTTCAAGCGATTCTCCTGCCTTAGCCTCCCGAGTAGCTGGGATTACAGGCACCCACTACCATGCCCAGCTAATTTTTGTATTTTTAGTAGAGACGGGGTTTCACCTTGTTGGCCAGGCTGGTCTCAAACTCCTGACCTCAAGTGATCTGCTGGCCCCGGCCTCCCAAAGTGCTGGGATTACAGGCGTGAGCCACTGTGGCCCCTTGATATTTACATTTCAAAGAGATAGCTCCCAGGTCTTTGAGAAAAACATTCCTGAGGCATAAAGTTGACAAAAAGCCTATCGAGTTTTCAAAAGGATTTATATTCATTTCAAAGAGAGGAGAAAGAACTTACAATTGCAAATTTTCTAAAATAAATGCCTTAAGAAAATGGGAAGGGGGGGTAAATTTCTTTATTTCCAATAGAGAGGATTAAGCATCTTATTTTTAATTTGTATGTGTTCTTACATTACTCATGAGTAACATTTTTGGAAACTGTCCTCTGGCACAATATCTGTTAACATATCTGAGTATTATGGCCCTCTTAACATAAAAAAAAAGCCTCATAACATCTCTCTATGATAGTAGTAGTATATTTAGTATCCATTTATTCAGAAAATATATACCGACCAAGCCTTGCTATGAATTCAGATACTCTTTAGATCAGTTTGTAGTTTATTAGTTGAAACATTTAAAACTAATAGTATCCATATGTGCAAAGCATACTAGTTAGTGCATAGTCATGCCATATTCCTTGAAATAACCTAACAGCCACCCATCATGGCTCAAGATATGAAAAATACTAATATTAACTAAAATAGCTTCTGATGAGCCAAACTTGTTCTTTTTTTTTTTTTTAAAGACACCTGAGCACTGAAGTTATTTACTTGATTTGATTAACAAGGAATGAGCCTCAGAGCCTCATTTAGCTCTTCCTGATTCCAATTTACAGAGAATTTGGCAGGTCTGATTATCTGGTATGTCAGGTCACTGTAGGGAGAGTCTGTAACAGTCATTGAAACATTGACCAAAAAAAAGTGTTAAGGATAAAATTATTACATTAGAAGTTGAGATTATGATTGAAATTTATGGTAATAACATTGGATCTTTAAGAAGGACTAATATCCAGAAATTTTGCTAAGAATATAAGAACATGAGTAATACAAACAAACAGATTTTCTTTTCAAATCAATAGACCTTTTTTGGCGAGGGTCTGGGGAGACATTTGATGCTTAAAGGAACTTGCTCTTTAAGACCCACTCTGTATTAACACTTTCTTCCCCGGTTAGGAAACCTGCTTATTATGTGCTAAGTTGCTTGTTCAGTGAAACTTAAAATCAGGTATTTTGAATTGTGGAGTGAATATGGAGCCTTCTGTCTTAAACAGAGTTCCAGTATTTGCATGTTTAATGTGGATACCACAAGGATGGGAAATCAAGGTTGTGTCAGAGGCTGGGATTGTGGTGATGTTTGTGGAAGATTGTTTTTCAGAGCTCTGTTAGCAATCATCGGTCCTCAGACTTACCTTTGGGTTGGGGATTATTGGAAAGGAACTGTTGTGTAAATGTCCAGCAATTCTGATAAGATCCCAATGCAGCGTGCAGAAAATACTGGTTCTTGGAGTGTAATATTTACCTAGTACTAGAATTATCTGCATTTATCAGCCAAAGTTCAGAGAAAAAAAATTACTGCCTTAAAATCTTAAGCAAAAAGGAATTTGACACAGAGAAGTAGGTGCTTACCAAATTGTTAAAGACATTAGAGGAGTGGGTTTCAGACCCACTAGATTAATTCCCCAAACATCATAGAACTGACTCCCCAAGTGAGCTGTTACCTCTGGCACCATCAGATGCTAGGAAATCAGGAGACTGCCTCTGGAACTATGGAGCTGAAGATCATATTACCATTGTGGTCATTAGAAGATCAGGAAGCTATTGCTCCTTCTCTTCACACATCCAGGTCCATATGTGTCTGTCCCACGTGGATTCCACAGGTGTCCCACACTAGGGCTTCAGGGAAGCCCAGGGTAGTATAGTAAGGCAGGTGTCAGGTCATAGCAGCACAAATCTGGATGCTGAAGCAAAGGCTGGAATAAAAGTTGAGCCAAGAGGAGGTCAAGTGTAGTACAAGGGGTGTCCAACACAGGAACTCACATCCTAGCTACCCTCAAAGCCACTTCAGTGCTAAAGGCAGGCCTTCTCCTGGATGCCTGCAGAGCTACTGGAAAAAGGTCTTTGGTGTGGAGGAACCTAACTTTTCAAAACTTTTTAATCTGAAGACAATGACAATTGGATATAAGAGTAAACTATGGTATTTTACTGGCATAACTTGAAGACCCTAAAACGTATCCAAACCCCTTGACTCTTCCCTATGATCACCCCAAAACTGCCCTTTCAACAGTTTACCCCCTCTCAACAAATGGTACCAGCTTTTACTCAATTTCTCAGATCACACCTTGGAGCCTTGGTTGACCTCCTTGTTTTTCTCATATTCAATATCCAGTACAGGAGCAATCTTGTCTGTTGCATTTTTACAATGTATTCCAAACCCTCCACTGCACTGCCTCCGGCACTACCATGCTAGCCCAGGCAGCACCTCCTCCCCTGTGGATTATCCCAGCAGCTTCCTGACTATTCTTGTTTCCGCTTTTATCCTCTATAGACTGTTCTTTTCACAGTAGCCAGAGTGGGTACTTTAAAAAATGTTAAGCCATGTCATTTCTCTGGTCTCAACTGCTCTATCATTCCCATTAGATTTCAAATAAAACCCAAAGTCCTTTTTATGATCTTGTTTCTACATGATCTGGGCCCTGTTTTAGTCTGTGGCCTCATTTCTTATCACTCTATCTCTTGCTCTCTGGTCTGTGCTTACTTTTACCTCCCTGATAGTCCTCAGATGTGCCAGCAAGTTTCTAACTCAGGCCTTTACATTTGCAATTTCTACTTGGAGTTGAGAATTTCATTCTCACACTCAATTGATACTTCAGTTCAGATGTTAACCTCTCAAGGAGACTTCTCAGAACTCCTTCTTTAAAATAGTCCCTCATCATACTGTATTCTCTCTCTCTCTTTTAAGAGATAGGGTCTTGTTCTGTTGCCCAGGCTAGAGTACAGTGGCATGATCGTAGCTCAGTGCAGCCTCGAACTCCAAGGCTGAAAAGATCCTGCCTCAGCCTCCCAAGTAGCTGGGACTACAGGCTTATGCTACCACACTTGGCTAATTTCAATTTTTTTGGTAGAGATTGGTGGGGGTCTCGCTACATTCCCAGACTGGTCTCGGACTTCTGGCCTCAAGTGATCCTCCCACCTCAGTTGCCCAAAGTGTTGGAATTACAGGTGTAAGCCTGTTGAATTTTTGTTCATAGAGCTGATTACCCAATGTGTGTGTGCATGTGTGCATGTTTGTGTGTGTGTGCATGTGTGTGTGTGTGCATGTGTAAATTCCTTATTTATTGTCTGTTTCATTCACTGAAATATTTGCTACATGAGGGCAGGAACTATGTTGAATTTATCATCCTATTTCCAGTGTCTATAATGGTTCTTGGCACATAAGTGTTCAATAAATGTTGTTAAATTAATAACTGAATTAAATCAGATCAAATTGGTGTTTGGTTTTTCTGACAATAGATTTCCCTTTAAATGTTATGCTGTCCAGAAGCTACTAGTTAACAGAAAAAAGAAAATAACATTTCTGTAGTATTTGACAGTGTAAATTCACTCCATACAACTATAACCAAATCATTTACTTATGTTCATTTCATAGTCTATTGAAGGACATCTGGGAGTGCAGTAATGTAACGACCTAGTCTGGTGAATACTTCTTCAGAGTCCCAGGATACTCTTCAAAGTCCTAAAGTTATCTAGCCATCAAGTTGGAGGCTGAGCTTGGATTGTGGAGGACATTTTAGAACCCTCTGTTGAAAATGACATTCATCATTTCCAATACCTCATTGACCAAAATTTAATCTTATGGCCCCGCTTAACTCTAAGGGAGGCTGGAAAATATAATTTAGCTGTATTCCCAGGAGGAAACGTAACTGTATTAACTCTGTCAAAATAGGTATATGCATGATATTCTTTAATGCTTAAAAATCTCTGAATGATAAGTACTGCATCATCATTTACAGATGAAAAAATCTGACCCTCAGAGAGGTTGAGCTACACAACCAAAGTCATACGGCTAATGATTATGTGGCAAAGCCAGGGCTTCACTCCAGGTCTCCTATGATTTTCTCTGTCATTTGGGTAATGGGAATTCCATACATAGTACCAGTCATTTTGATGAGACTGACTTTGCTAATCATTTTATTTATGCTTACACATCACTTAAGAATGCACATATGCCTTGGACTTGAATGACTTTTATTATGTTTGTTAACATAGTATGATTATTCTTTATAGTTCGGCCTTATTCACTCTGTCTTCTTTGATCTGTTCCCACTCCTGCTTAGCAATCGCAGTATCTCAGTACTTTTCAAAAATTACAAAAAAAAGCAACACAACTTTTGTTCTACTTTTCAGTCAGCTTGGATGATGTATTAAAAATCTTCATTGATGGCAAGAAATACATAGTTGTATTGATTAATGTTTCTGATTTATTTCATTTGAATGACTCCCACTTTGACAGAGACATGAATTCTACTTGATTGCCTCTAGTTGCTAAACACCGATTACTTGGAAAGAATGTTGTCCCTATGAATAGATAATAATTAAGCAGAACATCAATAAAATAAGAGATTCAACTTGAACCAGTGGAAGAGTAAGATGTAGCTCTAAGCCTACACACAGATTTCATAGAAAACATTGCAGTGGGGCCTTGTTTACATGAAATCTCTGTTACTACATGCTGACCCTCATCCTTGTAGGTGCAGAAACTTTATGTCATCAGTGTAGCCTCAGATGAGTAGACACCTCAAAACCTCACTCACCAAATACTTCACAAGCCATTGATGACTCAAACAGAATCCTAATTGTTCACTTATGATCAAATGTGTGACAGCCAGTGACTAGAGCACTCGTTTCCTTTATCTAGGTCACCGCCTCCTGCTTTCAAGGTATCTAGGAAACCAAATTATAAACCTGCTGATTCCATGGCAAGCAAGAATTATGAAATATGATTAGGGACATTTTGTCCAGGAACTGTTAAGACTTGACAAAATACTTCCATACCACAAAATCAGACACACAAAGTAAAACAAAACCAACAATAACTCTTTCCTAGGGAAAGAAAAACTCCTGTACACTAGACATATTATTTCCATACCCTGAAGATAGTTGAATAAAGGCATGACCAAATTAATTTTGTCTCTCTGAACATTTTCTGAGATTCATATATTTTATCCAGGAAACATATTCTTTATACTAGAAAGAATCTGTTAACATATTCTTTCTTCAGGGAGATCACAAACTTTGATTAGACCACAGAGTCTTCTACAACAAAAATTGTTTTCAGAGTAGCATTATTTTTAGTGGAAAGAACATAGAATATTTTCATGGAAAGGGAATATAAATTTAGGCAAATCTAGGATTAAACACATATAACAGCTGCTTATCTAATGAATAATTTCATGTAAGTTACTTAACCCTGCTAAGAATCAATTATCTCTGAAAATAGTATCTACCTTTCAGGGTTTTTCTGCAAATTAGAGACAACAGATATTAACTACCTGGCATATAGTAGATGTTTAATACATTATAGTCATTATTATTAGAGTTTTTGGGACTTCTTCCCAGTATTAATTGTGGTGACATTCTCTTTAAAATAGTTCTGCAAATAGCTAATTTCATTCAATACATGTGGTTTTTATACATTTAACTCTTATAAGGTAATCTTCTTTTTTCTTTTTTTTTTTAGGTCAGATTTATTGAGGTCTGATTTATGGATAGTAAAATTTACCCCATTTAGGTGTAGAGTTGATGATCCTGGTCAAAGACATGTAGCCCTGTAATCAAGACTACAACGAAGATATAGCACATTTCATCACCCCAAACTCTCCTTAGTGCCACTTTGTAGTCAGTCTCTTCCCCTAATACTTGCCTCTGGCAACCATTGGTGTGGTCTAGTTTTGCCACTTCTAGAATGTTATATAAGTTACAGTTTACACTATATAATTTTTAAAATCTGGCTTATTTCACTTAGCACAATGCTTTTGCAACATATCCACATTGTGTATCAGTAGTTCAATCTATTACCAAGTAGTATTATATTTTGTGAACATGAAACAATTTGTTTATCCATTTACCAGTTGATGACATTTGGGTTGTTTTTAGTCTTTGTCAATTATGGATAAAGCTACTATAAACATTCATGTATAGTGGTTTTTGTTGTTGTTGTTTGTTTTTTGAGACAAACAACACTTTGAGACTCACTTTGTTGCCCAGGCTGAAAGGCAGTGGCAGATCATAGCTCACTGCAGCTTCAAACTCCTAGGGTCAAATGATCATCCCACCTCAACCTTCTGAGTAGCTGGGACTACAGGTGAGAGACAACACGCCCGGCTCAACATTTACATATATTCTTTCTGTAGACACATATTTTCATTTCACTTAAGTAAATATCTAGGAGTGGGATAGCTGGCTAATATGCGTGTATAGTTCACTTAAAAATATATCATATTTTTTTCCATAGTGGTTGTACCATTTTGCATTACCACTAGCAATATGAGAGTTTCAGTTACTCCACATTTGTACTAGCCCTTGATATCGTCAGTTTTTTCTTTCATTATTCCTTTAAAAAATCCTCGATTTTCTATTACGTGTATAGTGGTATCTCATTGCAGTATTAATTTATACTTCTCTTATTTTTAATGATATTGAGCATCCTGTTATGCACTTATCTGCCATTGGTATCTTTTCTTGGTGAAGTGTCTATTTAAATTATTTGCCCACTTTAAAAATTGTGTTTTTTGTTTCTTATAATTGAATTTTAAAAGTTTTAAAAATATATTTTAGATACAAGTCCTTTATGTGTTTCGTGAATTTTTCTTCCAGTCTATAGTTTGTCTTTCACTTTTTTGGCAATGCTTTCCAAAGAGCAGTAGTCCTTAATTTTAATCAAGTCCAATTTAGCAATTTTTTTTCTTTTATGGCTCATGCTTTTTGTATCATATCTAAGAAAGCTTTGCCTTGCCCATGGTTGTGAGCAATTTTTTCTATGTTTTCTCTCAGAAGCTTTATAGTTTTAGATTTTATATTTAGGTGTATGATCATGTTGAGTTAATTTTGTATATGATATCTGGTAAAGTTTGATGTTCAAGATTTTGCATATAGGGGACCAATTGTTGGAGTAACATTTATTGAAGAGACTATCTTTTCTCTATTGTATTACCTTGGGCCTTTGTCAAAATTCAATTGATATGTAGGTTGAATTTCTGGACTCTTTATTCTGTTCTATTAATCTATATGCCCTTATGTCAATACCACATTCTCTTGATTATTATAGCTTTATAAGATGTGTTGAAACCAGGTGGTGAGAGTCCTCAAACTTTGTTTCTCCAAAATTATTTTGGCTATTCTAAGTCCTTTGCTTTTCTCTACAAATTTTATAGTCATCTAATCAATGTCTACAAAAAAAATCAGGCTGAAATTTTTATTGGGATTGCATTAAATTGATAAATCACATTGAAGAGAATTGATCTTTTAACAGTATTGGGTTTTTCCTACCTATGAGCACATACCTTTGTCCATTTACTTAGGTGTTCTTTAATTTTTTCATCATTGTTTTGTGATTTTTAGCATTCAAATAGTTCACATGTTTTGTTAAATTCATCCCTAAGTATTTTATGATTTTTGATGCTATTATAGATGGCATTTTATTTACATTTAATTTCCAAATGTTTATGCCTAATTTATAGAAACACAATTGACTTTTGTATTCTGACTTGTATTTTTCAGCTTAGCTAAACTCACATATAATTCTATTAGAATTTTTTTTTTTTATACTTTAAGTTCTGGGGTACATGTGCAGAATGTCCAGGTTTGTTACATAGATATACATGTGACATGGTGGTTTGCTGCACCCATCAACCCATCATCTACATTATATATTTCTCCTAATGCTATCCGTCTCCTTGCCCCCCCGCCAACAGGCCCCAGTGTTTGATGTTCCCCTCCCTGTGCCCATATGTTGTCATTGTTTAACTCCCACTTAGGCTTGTCTGTAAAGGATTTTATTTCTCCTTCACTTATGAAGCTTAGTTTGGCTGGATAGGAAATTCTGGGTTGAAAATACTTTTCTTTAAGAATGTTGAATATTGGCCCCCACTCTCTTCTGGCTTGTAGGGTTTCTGCTGAGAGATCTGCTGTTAGTCTGATGGGCTTCCCTTTGTGGGTAACCCGACCTTTCTCTCTGGCTGCCCTTAACATTTTTTCCTTCATTTCAACCTTGTTGAATCTGACAATTATGTGTCTTGGGGTTGCTCTTCTCAAGGAGTATCTTTGTGGTGTTCTCTGTATTTCCAGAATTTGAATGTTGGCCTGTCTTGCTAAGTTGGGGAAGTTCTCCTGGATAATGTCCTGAAGAGTGCTTTCCAACTTGGTTCCATTCTCCCCATCACTTTCAGGTACGCTAATCAAACGTAGGTTTGATCTTTTCACATAGTCTTATATTTCTTGGAGGCTTTGTTCGTTCCTTTCATTCTTTTTTCCCTAACCTTGTCTTCATGCTTTATTTCATTAAGTTGATTGTCAATCTCTGTTATCTTTTCTTCCCCTTGATCGATTCGGCTATTGATATTTGTGTTTGCTTCACAACGTTCTCGTGCTGTGTTTTTCAGCTCCATCAGGTCATTTATGTTCTTCTCTAAACTGGTTTTTCTAGTGAGCAGTTCCTCTAACATTTTTTCAAGGTTCTTAGCTTCCTTGCATTGGGTTAGAACATGCTCCTTTAGCTCGGAGGAGTTTGTTATTACCCACCTTCTGAAGCCTACTTCTGTCAATTCATCAAACTCATTCTCCGTCCAGTTTTGTTCCCTTGCTGAAGAGGAGTTGTGATCCTTTGGAGGAGAAGAGGCATTCTGGTTTTGGAATTTTCAGCCTTTTTGCACTGGTTTTTCCTCATCTTCGTGGATTTATCTACCTTTGGTCTTTGATGTTGGTGACCTTCGGATGGAGTTTTTGCGTGGTCATCCTCTTTGTTGATGTTGATGCTATTGCTTTCTGTTTGTCAGTTTTCCTTCTAACAGTCAGGCCACTCTTCTGCAGGTCTGCTGGAGTTTGCTGGGGTTCCACTCCAGACCCTGTTTGCCTGGGTATCACCAGCAGAGGCTGCAGAACAGTAAAGATTGCTGCCTGCTCCTTCCTCTGGAAGCTTTGTACCAGAGGGGCACCCACCAGATGCCAGACGGAGCTCTCCTGTATGAGGTGTCTGTCGACCCCTGCTGGGAGATGTCTCCCTGTCAGGAGGCACAGGGGTCAGGGACCCCTTTGAGGAGACAGTCTGTCCCTTAGCAGAGCTTGAGCGCTGTGCTGGGAGATCCGCTGCTCTCGTCAGAACCAGCAGGCCAGAACGTTTAAGTGCTGAAGCTGGGCCCACAGCCAACCCTGCCCCTAGCTGCTCTGTCCCAGGGAGATGGGAGTTTGATCTATAAGCCCCTGACTGGGGCTGGTGCCTTTCTTTCAGAGATGTCCTGTCCAAAGAGGAGGAATCTAGAGAGGCGAGAGGCACTCTGGCTACAGCAACTTTGCCAAACTGCGGTGGGCTCCACCCAGTTTGAACTTCCCGGTGTGTTTCCTATCCTCAGCAGCACATTTGTCTTGCCTAAAGCTCCAATTTATATTTCAATCCAGTTAACACAACGTCATCCATATAGTTAGCCAGCGTGATGTTCTGTGGAATGTTTGTGTGGCTCAAATCACTTTGGATTATACTTTGAAAGAGACCAAGAGAATTTCTGTAGTCTTGGGGAAAGACCATACTGCATACTATTGTCCATTCTATGTGAATGTGAACTGTTTTTTGTCTTCCTTATTGATAAGAATGGAAAATAGTGCATTCATCAAATAAGTGGCCACATAAAACGTGCTGGTGGCTGTGTTAATTTGTTCTAGCGTAGAGTATATCTGATATAGAAGCTGCAATTTGGGCTTCTACTTGGTTGAGTTTCTGGATTTATTTAATTTTTGCAGGGACCAGACTTTTAAATTAAGTAGGATATGATGAGGGCTAATACCTCCACATATTTTATATCATAAATATTTCACTAATCTCATAGATACTTTTATGACATGTTATTATTTTGACTGTATTTACTATTCTACTACTATGTTTACTATGTTGGTCAGAAGTGGAGGGGCAATTTCAGAGGCTTCCATTTAACCTTTCCCTCTGTTATTTCTGTTACACCACAGCTCAAGGAACTGATTCTACTGACTACCAACTATAACTAGCACAATTATACATTTAGGAACTGGAAAATAATTTTTGTGTGATCATAACTACAAGCTGAGCCAGCCCTAGGACAACATTTATTACCTAGAAACATGTGTTTGTATTCTTTTATGGGGCAAAGGTGACACTTTTCCTTGGTTATCCATGCTACTATAAATGCTGTATACTGACATTCTCAAAATATTTGGAGGTATTCTCTTTTTCCCAATGTATGATTAACCAAATAAATGGCTGTAGGTTCCTTTAGGAAAAGACTGGGGAAGTTACTAGTGAATATACTTGTCATGGTTTTGCATGGTGCTTCCTTAAAGAAACCTAGGATTTTCTTTAGTTAGTGAGTTCTGGGTCTGACAATGGGCTCAAGTCCAGAAATTCTGCATGGGTTCAATTATATTTTTAAATATTTCATTATGATTGATTTTTAAACATATTGCTATAAATTTTATCAAAATATAGAAAAGTTGAAAGAATTACGTGGTGAATAACCATGAGCTCATCACCTAGATTCTACAATTAACATTTTGCTATAATTATTTATTAAATATTTAACCATCTTCTGTTCATCCCTCTAACAGTTCATCAAATAGTATTTTGATGCTTTCAAAGTAATTTGCTTCATCAGTACACTTCATTCTTAAACATTCCCGAATGTGTTTCCTCATCTAGAGTTTAACATTTGTGTTGTGTTAAGACTTCTTTCCAAAATACAGTTCCAAGCAAACCCATAGAGTAGGGAATTTACTGTCACATTATCCTCTTCATTTCCCTTTTGTGAATATCTCCACTGTTCCTATTGGCTGGTAAAGGGTTTTACAAATCTATATACTTAGAAAGCAAGAGTATACAAAACAGAGTATCAAAAACAAATGCTACTTTTGTCTCAGAGCAAAACTCTTACTGTAAAATAAAATAATAATGAAGTAAACTATTCTTTATATTTACATTGACCAGCTTGACAAGCAAAGAAGATCATTTCTAACATGACGAAATGCATCTTTGTTTTTATTTGAGTGAGATCTTAGTTTTCTTTGATGTTTAACAAAATTGTGAAGCCCATTTTTTTAGATTTGTCAAATTATAAAGATTAGTGAATATTAAAGAGAAATAGTTGCCTTTGAAGTAAAACCATGTTTATGCTTATTGATCATCCACAGGTTAAAACAAATAATGTAGGCAAAGTAGACTGATGAATTTTGGGGGTTTTGCATATAAGATTTTCTTTTTAATGTGGTTTGTTAAATAAAAGAGACAGAAATCTCCTTCCTCCTCAAAATAATATAAAACAACAGGAAAGTAATGACAACAATAAGAATAGAAACAAAGAGATTTATAGTGTCCTTACTTAGATTTATCTTTTATCCCAAGTTCTCTCTCATAATACTGACTCTTTTCTCCATGTCCAATTTATATGCGACTTGAGGAGATGATATGACATAGAGTAGAATAAGAACCATATATTAATGTAGACAAAGATTTGCAAAATGGTTTTACTATTTCTCTCCTGTGTATTTGAGTAAGCCTCATATTGATAAACTTCGTTTTTCTTTTCCAAAAAATGGCAGAAACTAATGCCTTGATTAAAGTATACTTTTGAAAATGTTACACAGTGGGGTAATTCCTAGCATCATGGATCATGTTATGCAGAAGACATTTACTGGGGAGGTATTATATTCAGACACTCTGATGTATCACAAAAATATAAAGACAGTAAGTCTCTAACCTAAAGGTACTTACTGTTTAAGAAAAAAAAAAATGAAGAAAACCAATAGTTAATATACTACGCAATAATGTTAATATTATAAGAAAATAAGACACTGAATGGTAAAGAACTAAAGAGAGAGTGTGATGAGTAATACCCAATCCAGCCTTGGGGTTAAGAATATGGGAGGGAAATTGGAGAAAGGAAAATTGACTTCCTTTCAAGAGGAAGTCAGCTTTGAGTTACTTCTTAAATAATGAAATATCTAAAGTTGGGTGGATGAGAGAGAGGGATGTTACAGAAAGAAACACACCTGATGTATAAACATACAGAAGTAGAGCATGGTTTATTTGGGAGTTTTGTGTGACTGATACAAAAAGCACATGTGGGGCAGTGAGATAAAGAGTGAGAGAAATAGGCAGGACCCATATGATAAAGGATTTTGCAAGCTTTGATAAGAATTTGAGCTTTAAGCTAGAGGCCACGAGATACCATTAAAAAGTTAAAACAAGGACATTGTAAGAATTTTAGGAAGATCAGTACATTATCCAGACACAGTGGTGAAAATGAAATTGAAGAAGCTAGTTATGATTTTATCACAGTAGTATAAGCACTCTAATTTAATGAAGTGGTAGTGAATGTGGTAATTGCGGAAATTTACATTGTATTTAAGAGATACAACGTATAGGACTTTGTAACTAAGTGGACATGGATAATGATGAATTAGAATTAAGAAAGATTCAGACTTTGGGCTTCTGGGTTTGAAGGATGGTGAAACCATTCCTCGATATAGAAAACCCAGAAAGAGTGGTAGATTTCAAGAGGAACATAATAATTTCTTCTTTAGATATATTGAGTTTGAAGTTTTATATGGCACTGAAGTGCAAAAATAGTGGGAATTATAAGTGTAAATATATTCCCTACAGATGTTCCTTAAACAACCAAGTGTGAACTGTGTGGGTTCACTTAGATGAGGAGTTTCTTCTGCCTCTGCCACCCCTGAGACAGCAAGACCAACTTCTCTTCCTCTTCCCCGTTAGCCTATTGAACGTGGAGGCCACAAGGATGAAGATCTTAATGGTGATCCACTTCCACTTAATAAATAGTAAATATATTCTCTCTTTCTCATGATTTTTAAATAACATTTTTTCTCTAGCTTACTCTATTGTAAAAATACAGTATATAATAAATAGAATATATAAAATATATGTTAATTGTTTATGTGATTGTTAAGGCTTTTGGTTAAAAATAGGCTATGTTCAATTCCAAGGTGAGCAAGACAGGTTTGTCTGTGCCTTCATGTAATTTACATTCTGATGAGTGAGAGAGATCAAAAACATAAAACAATTGCAATAAGTGCTCAGATAAAGAGGAGGCCTTAACATTTAAAAGGCATCAAAATTGTTTAAAGAAAGGAGGAAACTAGCCATATGAAGAAAGGTAGAAAAGCATTCAATCCTAACCCTTTTCTTTTCCACTGGACTACTAGAAATGTAACTATTTAGTCTTGGAATAGAGAGCACATTTTCTTACTCTCCACCTCCTTCACCTCCTTTGTGTGTTTTCCATGCAAACACTTAGGGCAACTAGGCAAGCTTTTGTCACTTCCTTAGTGTCAGCATTTCTATTATAAGTCCAACAGAGGACTCTTGACAAGATTTACTTGAAACTTGAAGCTATAAAGTCATTAAGTGCTGTGAATAGCTCTGAACATTTTGGCTTTCCTCCAACATACTCTCCTCCTACTAACAGGGAAGAATTACAAAGCAAATAAGACAACAAAAGGAAGCGCATTCATCTCCATGACCACCGACATTTTCCAATCATTCAATATCCCCAATGGGACAGTGGGTTGGGGTGTATGCATATATATAAAAACAAAATTCTCCACTGTTTTTCTTTTTCTAAGGAAGGTTTAAACTCAGCATATTTACCCACTTAGCTATATTCATCCTGCCCTTAATGCCTTTAGGAATCTGGACTAGTAAATCACTAAAAAACAATATTTTCAATTAAATTGTTACATCATAATTCTGTTTTTAATCCTTGAATGCACAGCAGCAGCAGACAGAATCTATCTGACTTGGTGACCCTCACTAGAAACCTCAGTTAATTATAACCCTCCTCATTTTGATTATAGTACTTTGCTCATTTGAAATTCCACCTAGTCAATTAATGCAGCTTATGGTATCTGTAGAATATCATGAACCCATGGTTACGATTTTAATTATAACATACATTTTACAGATCTCAGTCATCCATCTCCAAGGACATTCTCCTTTATATAAAGTGTCTTAAATTGGGCTGCTTCCTTTGACTTAATATTGCCTTCTTGGAATGTAATGAATACCTTTTGGTGACAGCATCTCTTTCCCAGTCTGTGCTGATGAGAATCATGAACTGTACTAAGAGGTATTTTGCTAAACACAGGTACAGGAGTAAATGTGCCATTTATAAAATGTCATGACATATGGCATTTTTGAAACGCTATACGAACTTGGTGTCTAATAAGCTAACATAAAAGTCTTTTTGAGAAAAGAAAATATTGACAAGAAAAGTGAAAAAATAAGGTATATTATTCATAAATACATGTAACTGTTTCTAAGATTTTCATAAGCATAAAATTATAAAGGGTATTATCACAGCCTTTAGAACATTAACCAAGAATAAGGACAGTAATTGCAAAAAGGATAAGAGAAAGGAAATCTAAGATTATTCAAATTTGGGTTTCTGTGGTTTTCTGGTATTATGATTTGGTAAGAAGTAATATAACTGATAGTGTCTTATATGCAAAAGCATGTGAATTGGTGTCCAAATTTTATTTCCTAGTTTTTTAACCTCTAAAAGATACCTGATATATTTCAGTTCTGACTTCATTACAAAAATGTAGCATATTCAAGGTTCTCATAAGAAAATAAGCTTTGAATTCAGGCATTACACATATATGAGGCAATTAATTTATGAAGCTTTGAAAGAATGCTTAGAGCTAGTGTCTCCATTGTCAAGCCAGGAAATAAATATAGTAGCCATTGTAATAGATTCATGTGTGATCTCATGTCTATAATTTGTTTACCAATTAATATGCTCTGTTGAAAAGTTACACCCATATTCCATTCGATGGCTCAGAGAGAAAGATGTTAGCCAAGAGTTTCAATGTGTCATGTTTAAGATTTCAGGCCCTGGACCTAGTTTGGTTCAGTTCAAATCCCAGCTCTGCCATTCATTAGCTGTATGACTTAGAACAATTGATTTAACCTCTCTGTGACTCAGTTTTCTCATCTCTAAAAATAAATGTAATAATGGTGTCTACCTCAAAGGTTTGTAGTGAGTATTTTAAAAATGCATAGTAAGCACTCAGAACAGTGTAAGGTCTCAAATATTAACTATTATTAATACTATCTTTATTGTTATTACCCATACGACATTTCTGGAAACAACTAGGCCTTTCTCATAAATGATTTTGCCAATTTCTATCATGTGCCAGTGTTATTATATGCTGTTAGCTCCATGGGGAAAGAAGAGAAGGGGACAGAGTGAAAGGGAGGCTGAGAACTATGGAAGTTGACCTGTTCACATCAGGTATGATAAGTGCTTCTGCTGACACTGAACAACCTTCCACCAATAATATTTTTCTATGTCTGTATGTTAATTCCTTCAGTTATTGACTGGGGCCTCACCTAAGTATATTGATTTCATTATTTGAATAATATAATTTTGCTGCCTTATCAGTGAACCAGGAGATAAAACTCCAGGAAATTCTCAGCACTGTATCAGCCTAGGCAAGCACACTGATGGTTTTTAATAAGCGCTTACAAATGACTGGAGCCTTATACTTTCAGGGGGATATTTTTGAGTAAGTGCCCACTCCCCCAAAATATTCCTCTTCCTCAGTCTGCTTGGCATCATAAAGACAGAATCATCATCTTCACACATCATTCACCTTCTTCATTGCCATACTATTGCAAATAGGAGTTCAAGGCCTCAGGGAAGAAAAAAATATATACATTATTTAGGAAAGGAGCTGGTATTGGCAAAGAAAACAAAATGAGAAAAACTAAAACCCACAGATGGGTATGCTTAGAACTTTAATGCCTAAACTCAAATTATTTGGTAAGCTGCAACAGCAGATTTTTATGAATAAATTATAAATTTCAATTTGGGTATGTTGAGTTTAAAAGAATTAAAGGGCTGTGATATGATTTGGATTTTTGTCCCCACCCAAATCTCACAACAAATTGGAGGAGGGACCTATCAGAAATGATTGGATCATAGGGGCAGATTTTCCCCTTGCTGTTCTCTTGACAGTGAGTGAGTTCTCATGAGATCTGATGGTTTAAAAGTGTGTGACACTTCCACCTTAGCTCTCTCTCTCCTGATCCACCATAAGAAGATATGCCTTGTTTCCCCTTCACCTTCTGCCATGATTATATGTTTTCTGAGGCCTCACCAGCCACGTGGAACTGTGAGTCAATTAAACCTCTTTCTTCATAAACTACCCAGTCTCAGTTAGTTCTTTATAGCAATGTGAGAACAAACTCATACAGAAAATTGGAACAAGGAGTGGGTTATTGCTATAAAGATACCCAAGTATGTGGAAGCAGCTTTGGAACTGGGTAATGGGCAGAGGCTAGAACACTTTGGAAGGCTCAGAAGAAGACAGGAAGGTGAGGAACGTTTGGAACTTCCTAGAGATTTGTTGATTGGTTTTCACCAAAATGCTGATAGTGATATGGAGCATGATGTCTAGGCTGAGATGGTCTCAGATAGAGATGAGGAACTTATTGGAATATGAAGCAAAGGTCATTCTTGCTATGCTTTAGCAAAGAGACTGGCAGCATTGTGCCCCTGCTCTAGTAATCTGTGGAACTTTGAACTTGAGAGAGATAATTTAGGGTATCAGGCAGAAGAAATTTCTAAGCAGCAAAGCATTCAAGGTGTAACCTGGCTATTTCTAAAAGTGTACTGTCATATGTGTGAACAAAGAGATAGGATGGTCTGAAATTGGAACTTATATTTAACAGGTAAACAGCATAAAAGTTTGGAAAATTTGCAGCCTGATGATGTAGTAGAAAAGAAAAACCCATTTTCTGGGAAGAAATTCGACAGCTACAGAAATCTGCATAAGTAAAGAGGAGCCAAATGTTAATAATGAATACAATGAGGAAAATGTCTTTAGGGCATTTCGGAGACCTTCACAGAAGCCCCTCTCATCATAGGCCTGAAGGCCTAGAAGGAAAAAATGGTTTCATGGGCCAGGCCCAGGACCCACTGCTCTGTGCAGCCTTGGAACATGGCACCTGGTGTTCCAGCCACTCCAGCCATGGCTAAAGGTATAGCTCAGGCCATGGCTTCAGAGGGTGCAAGCCCTCAGTGCCAGCCCATGAAAGCAGCTGCTGGGGCTGTATCCTGCAGAGCCACAGGGGTGGATCTGCCCAAGGCCTTGGCAGTCCACCTCTTGCATCATCATGCCCTGTATGTAAGATATAGAGTCAAAGGAGATTATTTTGAAGCTTTAAGGTTTAATGACTGCCCTGCTGGGTTTCAGACTTGCATGGGGCCTGTAACCCCTTTGTTTTGGCCAATTTCTCCCATTTGGATTGGGACTATTTACCCAATGTCTGCACCCCCATTGTATCTTGGAAGTAACTAGTTATTGATTTTACAGGCTCATAGGCATAAGGGACTTACTTTGCCTCACATGAGACTTTGGACTGTGGACTTTTAAGATGATGCTGAAATGAGTTAAGACTGGGGGCTGTTGAGAAGGAATAATTGTAATTTGCAGTGTGAGAAGGACAGGAGATTTGGGAAGGGCCAGGGGCAGAATAGTATGGTTTGGATTTGTGTCCCTGCCTAACTCTCATGTTGAATTGGAGGAGGGGCCTGGTGGGAGGTGATTGGATCATGGGGACGGATTTCCTCCTTGATGTTCTTGTAATAATGAGTGAGTTCTCGTAAGATCTGATAGTTTAAAAGTGTGTGACACTTCCCCCTTAGCTCTCTCTCTCTCCTGCTCTGCCATGGGAAGGTATGCCTTGCTGCTCCATCACCTTCCGTCATGATTGTAAGTTTCCTGAGACCTCCCCAGCCATGCAGAACTGAGTCAATTAAACCTCTTTCTTCATAAACTACCCAGTCTCAGATAGTTCTTTATAGCAATGTGAGAATGGATTAATACAGACTTAATGTTCCCTTATGCTCTTGTACACGGGAATATCCACACACCAGACACCCTGAAGTTCTTATCACTCCTGAAAATGCCATTTTTTACCCCTTGCCTGGTATTCTTGTCCTTGCATAGTGAGGTATTTAGATTGCCCTCAAATCTGTGTTCAGATTGTACTTCCTCACCGAAACTGTTTATCATTCCCCCTGCAAGTCTTAGGAAGTAACTCTTATATGTAGGATGAAGTTTTAAAATCTTTAATGTGATAGAGGTAACAACAAGTCCCAGAAGGGCAGCCCAGGTTGCAGATCAGTAAGCTGCAACAAAAGTACAGTCACTGGCAGACAAAGAAAGCTTAGTGGGTTTAACAGAAAAACTGAAGTTTAGTGCAGATGAGGCACACCACGAATCCTAGGTATTTTAAACTGGGTTAAGGACAGCAAAATTTAACCAAGATTCTAAAAGCCGATGAAACTAAGCCTTCTGATAGAAGTATTGGCTGAAGAACAGGCAGGGCTGTCTGAGAAAGGTGGTAACAAACACTCTGGGAATTGGCTAGAATAATGTCAAATAATTTTGAAATAATTGAGATCTTTAGCTTTCATGAATTTATATACAACCAGTTTAGAGTAACACAAATAAATATGTGTGAAATTCAAACAACTGATTGATTGAGTGCAAGATAAGCTGCTTGTTTGAAATGTTGAGTATTTCAAGAATTCTTTTTTTATTATTATTATTATACTTTAAGTTTTAGGGTACATGTGCACAACGTGCAGGTTTGTTACATACGTATACATGCGTCATGTTGGTGTGCTGCACCCATTAACTCGTCATTTAGCATTAGGTATATCTCCTAATGCTATCCCTTCCCCCTCCCCCGACCCCACAACAGTCCCCGGTGTGTGATGTTCCCCTTCCTCTCTGCAAAGACTGAGAGAGCTGTGCTAATATTTCCCTAAGATAAAGACCTGCTGTTTTGCTCATAATTGTAAATCTTTGACTGCATGGAGGAAAGGTTAGCTACCTTGTGAATGATTTTCTGCCCCTTCCCAAATAAGCAGGCCAATTAATTATATCTAACCATTATGGGAAAAGCCCCTCCTAAGGGAAAGTAAGGCCATTCTTTAAATTGTCATCTGAGTGAATGTAATTCATAATTCCACATTTATCTTTGATCATTTCTTAATTATTACTGCAGTTAAGTCCCATTCTATTTGATATACTATATATATCTTATTATTTTTTACTTTTATTCTACACAATCTTTGCTTAGCTTCTTGCTGACCACAAAGCTAAAATTAATCTGTCTTTAGTCATCTTATACTTCTGTTTAGCTTTTCTTTTGCTATTTGATATTTGATAAAACTTGATGAAATACTATATAGAGATGCATTACCAAATAACATGGGTTTTCATCAAATGCCTTTTTTTTCTGAGAAATTAGGAATTCTAGAAGTAAAAGTTTTGTTAAGTCTTCAAGTTATTCCAGTGCTTAGGGACCCTGAGTATTGAAAAATGTTATGTTTAATTTATTCATTCATCCCCACCTTGCCTCCCAAAATATTTAAATGACTTTTCAGCTTTATAAATGATTTAGTGCTTTGTGCCTTGTTGGGAGATTTACCTCCATTTAGCAAAAAATTAGCACTTTTAGGTATACTGATTTTTGGCCTGGTGGAATCAGTGATTTTTTACTCATTGTGGAGTTGTTAACACTTCATGTGGCTCAGATTCAAAGTACTGATATTTACAGGAGATACATGGATGTGTGTTAATAATAGACATAACTGGTATTACAGAGAAGAAGGGGCAACAATTCAGGCCACATAGACTCTGTTTATAATGATAAGAAGCGAATTATACCACAACATTATGTATGACCTTAGGGCATAAATTTTAAAAAATGTCCTAAAAACTCATCAGCTACTGCAGATCATGAGCTACGAGAAACCACTTGAAAACTGATGCACAGATGAATTGACTAAGTATGCTACTCTAGAGTAAAAGCTTGGCCAGCTTTGCAGAGGTTCACATTTACGTGGCAGAATCATCAACTTCCAGAGAAGTATGTTTCTAGAATTTCCTACTTTTTCATAAATATCTTGAAAGAATTTCGATGTAAAATTCTAATTATTATTGTCAATAGCATTTACTATAAAACCTTTAAAAATCTACTTTTAAAATTCAATCATATGTGGTAGACATATTTCCATTTTGAAAGAAGTAATCTAAATTACAGTTTTTAAAAAATAAACTTTATTTTTGGCCGGGCACAGTGGCTCACGCCTGTAATCCCAGCACTTTGGGAGGCCAAGGAGGGCGAATCACAAGGTCAGGAGATGGAGACCATCTTGGCCAACATGGTGAAACCCTGTCTCTACTAAAATACAAAAAAAATAGCCGGTGTGGTGGCACGTGCCTGTAATCCCAGCTACTTGGGAGGCTGAGGCAGGGGAATTGCATGAACCTGGGAGGTGGAGGTTGCAGTGAGCTGAGATCACACCACTGCACTCCAACCTGGCAGCAGAGCAGGACTCCATCTCAAAAAATAAAAAAAAATTAAAATAAATAAATAAACTTTATTTTTTATTTTTAAACTTTTTTGATGTACAGAAAACTATGAAAATAGTACATTGTTCCTGTATACCCCATCCTCAGTTTAACATTTTATTAACATTTTACATTACTCTGGGCCATTTGTCATAATTAGGGAACTACTATTGATACATTATTACTAATTAAAGTCCACACTTTATTTACATTTCTTTGATTTTCACCTAATGCTTTTGTTTTCTGTTCTGGAATCCTATCCAGGATGCCACATTATGTTTCATCATCATTTCTCCTTAGTTTTTTTTTTTGCTATGGGAGTTTTACATATTTTCCTTGTTTTCGATGACCTTGACAATTGTTTCAAAAGCTGGTCTGGTATTTTGTAGAATGTTCCTCAGTTGGAACTTGCATTTATTTTCTATTAGATTGGAATAAGGGTTTTTGTAAGGAAGAGATCAAGGTCAATTCTCATTGCTTCTTATCAAGGGTAGCTAATAGCCACATGACTCATCACAGCTGATGTTAACCTTGGTCAACTGGTTGAGGTAGTGTTAGGTTTCTTCCTTGTAAAGTTACTTTTTACCCTTTTTCAGTCTGTAGTCTTTGTTTTTTTTTTTTTTTTTTTTTTTTTTTGAGAGAGAGTCTCACTCTGTCACCCAGGCTGGAGTACAGTGGTGCCATCTTGGCTCACTGCTGCAAGCTCTGTCTCCTGGGTTCACGGCATTCTCCTGCCTCAGCCTCCCAAGTAGCTGGGACTACAGGCACCTGCCACCATGCCTGGCTAAGTTTTTTGTATTTTTAGTAGAGATGGGGTTTCACCATGTTAGCCAGGATGGTCTCGATCTCCTGACCTCGTGATCCACCCGCCTCGGCCTCCCAAAGTGCTGGGATTACAGGCGTGAGCCACCACACCTGGACTTCAGTCTATAGTCTTTGAAAGGAAGTCACCATGCACAGCACAGATTTAAGGAGTGAGAAATTATATTCTCCCTCCTTGAGAGTGAAGCATCTGGTGAAGTATACACATAAATTATTTACAATTCTCCTGCATGGGGGATTTGCCTTTTCCAGCCTCCCATTATGTTTTTTTAATTTGTTTGTTTGTTTGAGACAGAGTCTTGTTCTGTTGCCCAGGCTGGAGTGCAGTGGTGCAATCTTGCTCACTGCAACCTCTGCCTCCCGAGTTCAAGCAATTTTCCTGCCTCAGCCTCTGGAGTAGCTGGGACTACAGGCACGTGCCATCATGCCTGGCTAATTTTTTGTATTTTTAGTAGAGACGGGGTTTTGCCATGTTGGCTAGGCTGGTCTTGAACTCCTGGCCTCAACTGATCTGTCCACCTCAGCCTCCCAAAGTGCTGGGATTACAGGCGTGAGCCACTACGCCCAGCCCCATAATGTATTTACTTAGTCATTTATTTATATCAATATGGACTCAGGCTATTTTACAATTTGAGTGATAATCCAATACCACTTTACTTATTTGTTGCTCAAATTATTTTAACTTTGGGCCAGATACAGAAGCTCATGTCTGTACTCTCAGCACTTTGGGAGGCTGAGGTGGGAGGATTGCTTGAACCCAGGAGTTCAAAACCAATCTGGTCAACAGAGCAAGGCTCTTGTCTCTACAAAAAACTGAAAAATTAGTGAGGTGTGGTGGCATGTGCTTGTAGTCCCAGCTACTCAAGAGGCTGAGGCAGAAGTATTACTTGAACCCAGGAGTTTGAGTCTGCAGTGAACTGTGATCACACCACTGCACTTCAGCCTGGGTGACAAAATGAGAACTGATCTCTTAAAAAATAAAAAATTTCAACTTTGGCCATAGGGAGCTCTCTCAGTTAACTCTTATGTCCCTTTGATATGCCCATCAATGTGTGTGCGTGTGCACCTGCATGTGTGTATGTGTTTGTGAATTGGAGTACTTTCTTACTTTTGGACGCTACAATGTTTTCTCATCTCTTCTAATATATTTCTCATTTTGTATATTTCTTGTCCCAGCCTTACAGTCAGCCATTTATCCAAGGAACTCTGGTTCCCTTTATTGGAGAATAAAATTGGTACTATTAAAAAGAAACCAAGATCTAGGCACCAGGTGTGCTCATCCCTTCCAGGGTGACATTTCTTTTAGGTCCTCTTAGCTAACAAAGCAAAAAATATATGTGTGTATACTAACCTGTGTATGTACACAAATATATAAATATTGCCCCATATGTATTTACAGTGAGCTAAAAATTAATTCATACTGTGATGGTTAAGACTGAGTGTCAACTTGACTGGATTTTAGGATGCAAAGTATTGTTCCTGGGTGTGTCTGTGAGGGTGTTGCCAAAGGAGATTAACAGTTGAGTCAATGGACTGGGAGAGACAGACCTACCCTCAATCTGAGTGGACACCGTCTAATCAGCTGCAAGCATAAAAGCAAGCATGGGAAGAGCAGACTTGCTGAGTCTTCCAGTCTCCATCTTTCTCCTGTGCTGCATGCTTCCTGCCCTCGAACAACAGACTCCAAGTTCTTCAGCGTTTGGACTCCTGGACTTACACCAGTGGTTTGCCAGGGGCTCCTGGGCCTTCAGCCACAGACTGAAGGCTGCACTATTGGCTTCCCTACTTTTGAGATTTTGGGACTCCGACTGGCTTCCTTGCTTCTCAGCTTGCAGACGGCCTATTGTAGGACTTTACTTTGTGATTGTGTGAGTCAATTCTTAATAAACTCCCCTTAATATATTCATCTATCCTGTTAGTTATGTCCTGTTAAAGAACCCTAATACACATACTGATGTTTAGAACTCATTTATTACCACATGAATCATTCTGGTTTTCTGTTACCTGTCTATAACCTCCCACTCCAACTGTGAGAAACCTGGCTCCCACAGTTGCCATTCCTTTACTTAATTGTTCACTTTCACTACACATGTATTATGGCTTCTGAATTGTTAATATGTACCTCATGGGAAACACCTTCAACTCAAATACAATGCTATGTACAATTCCTTTGTATTGGTTTTGTGAATGATGACACTGAAACTCTAGCTGAGGAGATTTCTAAGCAAAGTGTTGAAAGTACAGCCTGCTTTCTCCTTACTGCTTATAGTAAAATGTGAGAAGAGAGAGATAGATTGATGGAATTAGTAAGCAAAAAGTAACCAAAACTTGAAGATTTGGAAAATCCTAAGCCTATTCATATTGCAAAACAAGAGAAAGAATATTCAGGAGAGCACACCAAGGTTATGTCTGGATAATCACCTAATAAAGGGATTACCCATAATTTTAATCAGCCATCTCAGCAGAAGCCAGGAAGAAATGAGCTTACACCAGCAAAGTCACTGGAGTTTGAACCGAAGGGTATAGAGATAGGACAAAATGAAGAAAGGTTTTCCAACTTCTGGGATTTAAAACATGAGACAGTAAAGCCACCCAGTGATGATCATGCCTTATCTTTCATGAAAAGGGAAGAATGACCATGAAGGCTATTTAAAGATCATCAGAGTTGCCACTTCCACCACAGGCCCATGGGTAAAGCTATTTCCTCCTTGGTTTCAGAGGATGAACTCACCCCCTTGATTTCAGTGGGCCAGGATGCCCCTGTGAAGAGCTGAGAGGGTGAGGCCACTGCCTAGGGCCCTGGGGTGAAGGTGCCACCACAGTAGGCTTGGAAAACAGAGCATAAAGCCAAAAAGATTATTCTCGAGGCTTAACGTTGAATGGAATTTGTCTTGCTGGGTTTTGGACTTGCTTTAAAACCTGTCACCGCTTTATTCTTTCCTATTTTTTCCTTTTTGAAAGGGAAATACCTATCCTATGATTGTCTCACCTTTGTATTTTGGAGGCACATAACTTGTCTAGTTTCACAGGCTCACAGCTGGAGAGAAATTTTGCCTCAGGACAAAGCATCAGTCTCATTAAGTCTCATCGTGCCTGATTTAGAGGAGACTTTAGTCTTGGAATGGATGATGGAATAGGTTAAGAGTTTCAGGGCTGTTGGGATGGAAGAAGTATATTTGGCATGTGAAAAGGACATGAATTTTGCAGGAGCCAGAGGGCAGAATTTTATGGACTGAATTATGTCATCCCTAAACTTATATGTTAAAGTCCTAACCCCCAAGGTCACTGTATTTGAAGATAGGGCCTTTAGGAAACCAATTAAGGTTAAAGGACGTCACAAGGGTGAATCCCTAATCCAATAAGACTGATGTTTTTGTAAGAAAATAAAGAGAGATAAATAAAAAATAAAAAAAAGGGAGATCTCTTTCTCCAAATCCTACCAGAGGAGAAAGGGCCATGTGAGAACACATGGAGAGGCAGCAGTCTGCAAGCCAGTGGGAGAGTCTTCATCAAAAGCTGAATTTGCTGGCACCTTGATCATGGACTTCCAGCTTCCAGAACTGGAAAACATGTATTTTGTTTGTTTGTTTGTTTAAGCCACCTAGTCTGTGGTATTTGATTATGGGAGCCCTAGCAGATGGATACACTCTTCATGAGGTAGAAACTACTAATTTATAACAAAAAAAATAAGAGTTGGGGTAAAACACTATCTTAGGCATAGCCACTTTCCAAAGCACATATGATTTGAAAATAAAAACAATATATGTGGAGGAAGTGGATGTAATAGCTACTTTAAAGCCTTTTAAAGGTTGATGTTTTAGGATAGCCTAAGTCATACTGATATCTACTTTAAACATACTAAATGGGTTTATGTGCAATATATTCCCTTAAAATAGGATTTACTATTAAGTGGTAGTTTGGTAAAATATTTCTATAAAAGAACTGATTTAATTAATTCCAATTTAATTATTGCCTTTGAACTATGCAGATTAAATTATATATATATAGGCACGTGCACATATTTGTATGTGTGGTATGTGCATGTGTGTTAGACATGTGTGTATTAAATGAGTCTTCTGCACATTGAGTTCAGTTTGATAAAGTGTTTCATTTTTTATCCTATTTCATTGCTTAAAACGTAAAAATTGTATAACATTAAATTATAGGATAGCTGTGTGACATCCAAATTAGGTGGAAGATTCTAACAACTGAATCACCAGTGTTTTGTCATCTGAAAAAACTGAGCATTGTTTTAGATTATTCCAGTACCAGAGTGTTGTCCATCGAGTGGCTCTGCAAAGGCACCCAGCAGCAGTGAGGGTGAGCAGAAGAAAACTGCAGACACTGGCAAATACCATGGTCCAGTGAGGAGTGAGTGAATAAATCTATTCTTTTTCCTTATACTTTTGATTTGCTCTGGGTGCCTCCAACTGACCAAACTCATCTGCAACCAGAGTGTAAGGAAGGAAGCCCATAGAGAAGATCCTCCTGGAGCATATTGTGGTACAGAAGAGGGTGGAAAATGGATCCGAATTGACAAAGGGAAAATCATTTAATGGTTGTGGGCACTTTGTAGAACATTTGGAAAATGCCAGAAGTCACACAGAGGAAAAACCGTTAAGGGTGGTTCTAAAAGGGCAAAGAAGCTATCTATACATTTTTAGGTAGATTTTTAAAAATCATAAACATAAACCCTGGTTTTTGTAAAAAGGATTCCTCAGAGCTACTATTTTGCCTATATTTTAAATCTATGGCCTTGACTACTAAAGAGAGGGTTCACATAATTATGTCCATGGATGAAGGTGTGAGAGTCTGCTCAGCATGGCTCAGAAGTTGACAATTAGCAGTAAATCAAAGGTTTTGGACAGTCTAATGTTAACATCATCATTAAATTGAACAAGAAAATTACACTGATCAAATAAAAAAAAGAATACTTAAAACATTAAATCTTTGGGCTTTCCTGCAAATTATTACCTCAGAAGGCTATTTTTCAACTAATTGCCAGTACTCAAATGATTTTACTACTGTGTTATAATTCAGGATCTAGATTTAAAGTATTAAAGTAGCAGCTTATTTAAAAGAAACTGTGCTGTTTGTCCCATTTTCTTCATTTTGATCTTAGACTCTAAGTTTGAAATATCTTAGAACCTTTAGGAGGATACTCTTCAAAAAGTAACTCTGACAACACTTCTTTGGAAGCAAATGGGTACTGGGCTTGGTGTATTCAAATGACGTTTCCCATAGGTCTTTAAAAACCAAGAGTCTGATTCTTCTATCATCATTGTTACTTGACATTGTTCGTTGAGTTCTGGACATGATGATAAGCTATAAAACAGAAATAAAGCATAATTAGTAGAAGAAGGAGACACAAATTATCACTTTCACTGTAATATTCAGATTTTCATCAATGAGGAAATTGAGCAACAAAGATATCAAGCAACTAAGACAAGTTTAATAGCCCATTAGCATAAAAGCTGGGTTAATAGAGCTAAGATCAAGGAAAAGTGGTAGCAATTGACTTTTTGTGTGTGGTTTACAATAAGTAGAGATGATTGTCAGAAGAAATAATTTAAAGTCAAATCTTAAGGCATTTGTTCACTTACTTTTCATTTAATGAATATTCTTTTTAGTGCCAACTTGTGTAAGAAGAACCTGTGCTATGCTCTGGGGAGGTCAAGCTGGTCTAGATAGATGCTGTCTTTCCCTGGTCTTATGTTGTCTTTGTTCTAGCAGGGTTGCAGATTTTTAACCCAAATCCATTACTGTTGTGATAAATACTTCCAGAAAGTAACACAGGGTGCTAAAATAATACAGGTGAGAAGGACTTGACTCTCTTCAATGAATCAGAGTTAAAAAAAAAAAAAAACCCAGCATAGGACCTTAATCATTTGGGGAATATATGTTTTTTTTTGTTTTTGTATTTTTGCTTTATCCCTTTAAAATACAGAAAATGATACAATATTGCATTTAGAAAAATTGGTGGTAAAGGCAAAAAATTATGCTA
The DNA here is from genome assembly GCF_000001405.40 of Homo sapiens. Classification (NCBI taxonomy): domain Eukaryota; kingdom Metazoa; phylum Chordata; class Mammalia; order Primates; family Hominidae; genus Homo; species Homo sapiens. The sequence continues at coordinate 89,586,284 of NC_000004.12, forward strand.
TAAATTTTTAAACTATCATTGGGCAAAAAAAGTAAGAGAAAGTGTAATTAAAAGTAGAGTGCAGATTTATGTGTTTTTTTACGCAAATGGAGGTTTGCTTTTTTCATTATCAGCCCTCTGAGGAATCATCTCTTGAGCCACGAGCCTTATAGAGCGTGTAGGCTGCAGGGCTCAAGTCACATGCTGAATCTTGACATTCCTGCACAAGCCATCAATGACAACACATTGACCTCAGATGACACTTCACAGCACACAGCACAAATCCCTCTTCAGCTTCTACTGGTGATGCTCCTTGGGCAAGAGGTGGACTTGTTTGAGAAATCAGATAAGATGGATGGCAGTTTGCTCAGATTCCAACTGCTTGAACACTGTCACTGAGGTCAGATGTTTGGATGCTTGAGCAAAGACATACTGGCCAAATCTGAAAAAAATCCAGAATAAATCTGTATGTCATGACACCAAAGCATCCCTTACTTTCCTTATACAGAAAAATAAATGCTACTAATGTGGATATCAAGGTTTAGGTACCTGCGAGCATTAGTTAAAACACATTGCAAAATTCATAGTGAATATTATCATGCTGTGAAGCAGCCATTCAGCAAAGTGCTAGTGGCATGCTATTTTTAAAAGACATTTTAATAGCAGCTTTCTCCCAGAAAAAAACCTTCACGTAAATGAGAGAAAAATGTGAGTTTCAGAAAATAGAATATTTATGCACTCAATTTGTTTAAATGGCTGAATAGCTAAATTTGACAGAACTGGCCGATTGGTTTATGTAAGTCACTAGATGGCAGTACCAACTAGTTAGTATGATATAGTTTAGATTTGCTTCTTAAATACCAAAGCAAGAACAGATAATAGGAAAAAAGTTAATTCAGCACACTCTAGCATGGAGAGACAGTCTTTTACTTGGCATGGAGAGACAGTCTTCTAGAGGTAATACTGTCACAGTGACAAGGTCTCAGAGTTATGGAAGTGCTAGAAATTTCCAAATTTGCTCCAACGTTAAGTCTTGGCAGACAGAATAATATTTATTATTTCTTTGATGTGTTGTGGTTTATAACGGGCTTTCAGAAACATTTTTCTCATTTGATTTTCACATCAGCCTTGGGATTTAGGTAAGGTTGGTAAGAATATCTTCATTTTACCAAAAGGTTACATTCTGTTTAGGTCAGTGGTTCTAAGACACTGGGAGCTGTTTGGGAAATAGAGGCAATTTTGGTTGTCATAGTGAAACAGTAGGGGTGGGTAGATTCCCAGCACATAGTGGGTGGGTGCCAGGTATGAAAGACATCTTCAATATGCAGGAAAATCCCACACAATAAGCTTAACCCACGTTGAACATGACTTTTGAAGTCTTCCCAGACATTCATGTTTATAGTCTGTAAGGGTTTTATAATTACCCAACTTTAGAACCGAACTCAATTTTATATGGAAAGTAGTTATGCAATTTTAATATATGATAACTTTTCCAGGAATTTGACTGCCATGTAAATCTAAAGTAACACGCACTTTGTCTTTTTCTAAATTCTTGCAGATTTTTTGTTCATTCTGAAAATCACATCGCCAGATCCAACACCTTTTTATCCCAATCACCAGTACAAGCCACCCGTATCAGTGTACACTGTGGCTGACCGATCCATAGTGATGCTTTGAGGTAAGCATCTGACCACTTAATATGTCTTCTAGTGTTCATATCAAAATAGATATTATTTTACTATGAATTGCCTAATTTAATATTTTTATTTAGATTACAATTAGGATATGACATTGATTTATTGAAATAATGACTTTAAGAAGGCTATACTCTATGAATTCTAGGATAATGAAGGGAGACCTTAGAAAATATTTGTTCTAAAAGGGGATTGAATGTTTAGTGAAGTAAATAACTGTCGAGTTAGAATATACATTTAGGTAACATCATGTACTAATTGTATATTACACCTTCAGGCTATTTCATTGTGGTATCAGAGCACCTAGAGCTCCTGGTAACATATAAAGAATTCACGTACACTCTGTGCCTTCCTTGACAGAAATCCCACTGCTGTGTCTTTTCCTTCTCCATTGCATTTAGAATGTGATTTGCATTTCATTATAGAAGGAACTGCTTAAATATTTTTGTGACCTAGAAAAATAACTTAGTTAGTTTTCCAAAATGCAGCCCTCTTTTAATTGAGAAATATCTATCAAAAGAAGCTGGCTGTATCTATTTTCTTCTGAACCAGATCAAGTCAGTTCAACAGTTACTGAATGCCTACAGCGAGCCAGGTGCATTTTGGGTGCTAGTGATGAGAAGGTGAATGGGAGGCCTTTGAGCAGCCCATGATCCTGCCAAGAAAAGAGGCAGGAAAAAATCAGACAGTAACAAAATGTGATAAGGGCAATATTAACAGTGAGCAAAATGCTAGGGAACACAGAGGCCAGAGTGATTAATTCTGCCTAGGGAGGAAGCTTCACTGAACTGCCAACATAAAAGAGATGGAAATAAAAATCAATGCTCTGATTTTTCTGAAGGCCTTTTATTCTGCCTTCAAGAAATATAGGGAAAGGCAATGCTCAGAAAACAAATACTATAAGACTTAAAAAAAGACCTCTAGTGACTTATGGAGTGAGAATCACCCAGTTTGGACGCTGCCTCTAGGTAATTAAGTACACATTGGAAACTATATTAACTGTAGTGGGACCTGTGACTTGAAATCCTTAGTGGTTTCTCAGAGAGCGGATGTCTGCATCACATTCATGATATTGAACCGAATACTACCTGTGCCATTGGGTCCAGTTCTATAAGCTAGATTAGTGGTATGCTGGTGCATATTTAATAACTGGATCCCCTATAAACATAATCCTTGATTAGTAGCATTTGCTAATTTCTGTGGTGTAGATAATCTTCTCATGGTCGATTTCAAGTTACAAACATGATGTTATCAAATGGAGGGTTAGGAAGTGTTGTTCACAGTTGGCTCTCATAAATAAGTACAAACAGGTCTGAGCTGGTAGGAGCTCTAGAATCCAATACTTATACTCATGACATAAAAGAAAACAATCAGCAATTCTGATTCTGACTTTGTCTCTAACAAACTGTGAATAAACTTTTATCATTAGCAATTTGTGTTAAGGCAGTCATTTAACTCTGACATTTTAGTTTGCTTAGAATTTATTGAGCACTTTACACTAGGGGGTATGTCAAATACTTTACCCACATTCTTTTGTATCCCCCTTACAGCTCTGGTAGATGTGATTATGCCCATTTTACAGATGACAAACTGAAGTTCAGTCTTTAAGTGATTTTTCTTGATGCAGTAATGAGTATGAAAACTATGAAGCTCTGTAGAACTTGAAGAACTACTATATTGTCAGAATAAATTAAAATGCTCATGCTTCATTCCATCTTTTTGAGCTGTTTGAAGATTTTGTTTTAGGAAAGTTATTTGCTGCATATCACTCTTCAATTCTATATCCATTTACATTTTCTCTGTTAGTTCTACCATTTCATAGAAATCCAGGAAATGTTGTCTCAAAACCAGTTTGTTGGAATATGATTGCCTTTATTGGCAATATTCTGAAAAGTTTAATTTTTATGAAAAAAATTAACTTGTTTTTACCTAGGAAACTATCCCCAGAAGCTGTTCAACTGGGACTGGCATTTTCCAGTCCCTTGCCCCAGTGCTTATCCCTGAGGTGACACAATCAGGGCCTGATCAAATATCTTACACAAAGATTGAGACACTCCATAGGTGATAGATTAGGGAAAAGTAATTTTTCTCTGCTCCAAGAAAGCAGGGATTTGTCCCCCTCCTTGGAAAAGTCATAGGCCCAAAACCTAACTCCAATGTTTGACATGTAAATAAAATCTCTCCAGGTGTCATGTCAGATAATCCCCAGTGCCTCTGCTTTTGCAGTCTATAAAAGTCTCCAAGTTCCTAGTGCCTCATTCCTCCTTCAAATGTAAATACTAGAGAGACGGCAGGCAGTCATCCTGACACTCTGGGGTTTAACTTAGGAACCTAGTCTGGGCTGTATCTGAGCAGTTAACTGGACAAATGGTGACAGCTCTAATTCTCATGGTCTGTGAGAAACCCCAGCAAGGCAGGTTTCCTTACAGGAATCCTGAGAAATCCATTGTAGTCTCATCCCCTCACAGTGCTGCCGGTGAATACTGGCTTCCAGCAACAGTCTCAGACATTGCTACTGTGCTTTATTGATGACAACTACACATACAAGTTTTAGCTAGGGTGTTCAGGAAAGTGTGAAGAGTAATTTGTTTCCTGCTCATGTTACATTCACTGTTCAGAATTTGATAGGATCAATGCAAGGGCATGTCTCCTTTAGAACTCTTTAGGTAGTAATCACAACATCCCCAGAATGTGATCTCTCTAAATGTTGGTTGCAAGCTTCCCCTCTTCACACAACCTACCAGTGGGGAAAATAGGCAAAGGCTCTGTGGGTTGAAAAAGAAGAATTATCCTATTCATATAAGAAGTGTTTATATTATTGTTGGTATGGCTTAAGGCTGACTGAGGAGAGTACAATGGCACCACACTGATTATGAGAAAGACAGAACATAAATCAGAAGGGAGGACATAGATGTGGCCACATCTGGAGGACTGCCTGATGCATGGCATGAAGCCTTCAGAGAGGATGGGGTGACTGCTCTGGGTGCCAGCGATAAGGGGGTTCACAGAGTAAAGGACATCTACTGCTACAACCATGGTTCTTGGGAGCTATAAACTAGGAAGTGAACCTATAGTCATCAGCAGCTGAAATATGGAAGGGTGAGAAACAATCTATGGACCCACATATGTGGCTCAAGCCTGAAGAGCATGGTGGACTTTCGGTAGCTTAGAGCCCTGAAGTTGTCCTTTGTGTGCTGTTAGTGAGAATCACTCAATATGGGCACATTAGCACCAAACTGGCAGCCCAGTACTATGAACAAATTCTCATGCTGGTCAGTGTGAGTAATCGTTTCACCAGGTCACTCTTCTAAAACTGGGCCAAGAGACTGCCAGATAACTCCATAGTGGACCTCATGCATCACAGTGGCAGTGGTGGTTGTGGTGGTGGGAGAGTTGGACAATACCCTGAAAGGGAAAAAGGGGACCAGTAACAAGGGTCCTGGTCTGAATCAGGACACCTTATCCCAAAGGTACTTCTGGCCCTGGGTGACCCCAGGAGTTGGAAAGGGACTCTCTCAAGGTGAGGAAGTTTCTTTTTATCCTAAATTATTGAGTGTTTTCATTATAAAGGGATGTTGAATTTTGTCAGATGCTTTTTCTGCATCAATTGAGATAAACGTGGTTTTTGTCCTTTATTCTACTGAAATGGTATATTACACTAATTGATTTTTGGATATTAAAAAAACGTTTCACACCTGAGATAAATATCACTTGTTCACGATTTATAATCTTTTCCATATGTTTCTGAATTTAGTTTGTGTGGTAGTCCATTCTCACATTGCTATAAAGAAATACCTGAGACTGGGTAATTTATAAAGAAAAGAGGTTTAATTGTCTCACAGTTCTGCAGACTGTACAGGAAGCATAGCGGCTTCTGGGGAGGCCTCAGGAAACTTTCCATCATGGTGAAAGGTGAAGAGGAAGCAGGCACATTTTACATGGCAGGAGCAAGAGAAAGAAAGAGAGGGGGGGAGGTGATACACACTTTTAAATGACCAGATCTCATGATAACTCATTCTCACCACACCACCACCTAGGGGGATGATGTTAAACCATGAGAAACAACCCCCACTATCTAATCACCTTCCATCAGGCTCCTCCTCCATCACTGGGGATTACAATTTGACATGAGATTTGGGTGGGGACACAGATACAAACCATGTCAGTTTGCTAGTATTTTGTTGAGGATTTTGCATCTACATTCATAAAAGATACCGATTTATATTTTTTGTGATGCATTTTGTATTGATATAAGGCAAATGTTAGCATTATAGAATGGGTGGGATGTGTTACCTCCTCTTTTGTTGTTTGGAAGAGTTTGTGAAGAATTCTTATATAATTGGTAGAATTCAACAATGAAGCCATCTGGATCTGGGCTTCTCTTTGTGCAAAGTTTTATTTTTTTCATTACTAATTCAATCTCTTTACTTGCTATAGTTTGATCAATTTTTAAAAATTTCTTCTTTAGATATTTTTGGTAATTGGTATTTTTCTCAGAATTTATCTATTTAATCTAGATTATCTAATCTGATGGCTTACAATAGTTCATAGTATCTTTGTTTACAATTTTTTTTTCTTTTAAATTTCTGTAAGGTATAATTTTCATTCCTGATTTTGGTAATTTGAATCTTTTTTTTCTTTTTTCAGTCAAACTAGTTAAAAGTTTGTTAATTTTGTTGCTCTTTTCAAAGAAACAACTTTCAGTTTGTTGTTTTTTATTATTTTTCTAATTTATGTTTAATTAATTTCCACTCCAATCTCTACTCTTTCTTTTCTTTTACTTGCACTAAGTATAGTTCACTGTTTTTTTTCCAGTCTATTAAAGTGGAATGTTAGTATATTGACTTGAAATTTTTCTTCTTTTTGAACATAGACATTTACAGCTACAAATTTCTCTCTAAGCATTGTTTAAACTGCATCACATAACTTTTGTCATATTGTATATTAATTTGTATTCATCTCAAATTATTTTCTGATTTTCCTTGGGGTTTCTTCTTTTACCTATTGGTTATTTAGGAGTGTGTTGATTAATTTCCACATATCTGTGAATTCTCAAAATTTTTTGTACTATTAATTTCTAAAGTCATTCAATTGCTGTCAGAGAACATATTTGTATATTTTCAATCATTTTAAATTTATTAGGGCTTGTTTTGGGGCCTAACATATAGTCTATTCTGGAGAATATTCCATGTGCACTTGAGACGAACAATATTTTCCTGTTGTTGGGTGGAGTGTTCTATAGATGTCTTTTAGGTCTAGTTGGTTTACAGTATTTCCAAATATTTTATTTTCTTATTGATCTTCTGCCTGGTTGTTCTATTCATTATTGAAAGTGGGCATTGAAGTGTCCAACTACCATTCTTTAAATGCCCATTTCTTTTTTCAATTCTGGTTTTGCTTCATGCATTTTGGTGCTCTGTTGTTAGTTGTATGCATGTTTATAATTCTTTTATCTTCCTGATGTATTGAACTCCTTGCATCATAAAATGTCTCTCATCTCACAGCTGTGGGTGTAGAAAAAATAAGACTCTCTTTATCTATAGTATCAATTCTTTTTGTTGTTGTTTAAAAACCTATTTTGTCAGATATTAGAATAAACCTTCCAGCCTTATTTGGTTGTTGGTTGAATTTTTGACATCCTTTCATTTTCAACCTATTTGTATCTTTGAATCAAAAATATTTCTCTTATAGACAGCATATAGTTGGATCTTGCTTTTTTATCTACCCTGATAATTTCAGACTTTGCTTTGCATTATTTAACGCAGTCACACTTAATGTTATTATTGATATAGTTGGGCCCACAGAAGTTGGGAGACAGTAAACAAGGGAAGTTTCTCTGGTAATAAGCACAGATGATTTACAATTGGAATGGCCTCCCCAAATGTCTTGCTAACAGATAAGACCAGGAGAGTCAGATCATTACACTAAAATGACTGAGGTTGAATTTCAAGACAGCCTGGCCAGGTGAAGTTTTTAATTGAGATTATATGATGAGCTTTCTGAGCACTATGAGTTCATACTCTCTGTGGAACTTCACTCATATGTGTAGCTATCCTTGCAGTTTGACATTCTGAAATGACCCAGGTTCAAACTTAGAAAGTAATCCCAAGCCTTAGGAAACCAGACCTTGACTTGTACCAAGGAAATTGTCAAAATCTCTTGCAGTTTCAGGTATCACTACTAGAGGCTTCTCAAAGAAGAAGCTTCATTCTTTAGGTGGGACTTGGTCTTCTAAACCCCTGATGACTGAACATACACAATACTCACTTTGGTTAGATGAGATAAAATAGAAGTGTTGGCTGATATTTGGGAAGAGTAAAAGAGAAAGAAGAAATAAAAGAGGAAGGTGAGAAAATGTGAATAAGAAACTATATGTATACTTTGAGTTTTAAACTCCACACATAACAGATTCTGTTATCTCCATAACGTCCCTGCCCTCTTGGTGTATTTGTCTTTGCTCCTCCTTACGTCTTTGGAAAGGGTTAGTAGAGGAATTCTGAACTCTCAGGGTTGTAATGCAAAAAGTGTTTCACCCTATCATTTAGTGGACTATGAACAAATGTAACCTGAATTCAGGTATATTGTTTTATTCACTGACATATCTGCAGTACTCAACACATTTCCAGGCATATGGTAAGTACTACAAAAATTCATTGAATGAATCAGTAAGCCATATCTTCTTTCTCCAGGTAGCCGCAATAGGAGGACAAGACTATGAACTAGCACCCTTTGTAAGGGGAGGAATAATTGAAATATGGGGTGGTAAGAAGTAACCTAATACATTTTTCTAAGGCACCAGGGAAATGAGTTCGATGATATGCCTCTCCTCCACTTTTTCTCATAGACTTTGGTGAAAAGTGAGGCTCTCCTGGGTTCCAGCCGTGGTCTTTTCACTTGCTAGCTTTGTGACTCTGAGCTCTCTGGACTTCAGTTTCTTCTGTAATAAAATTGTGAAAATAGTACTCTTGTAAAAATCAGGTAAAATGGTGCCTTTGAATATATATTGTAAGCTAAAAAATATTATGTAGTGCTAATGTGATATTATCACAAATGTAGTGCTTCTCTATCTACCGTTTAAATAAAAGAGCTGATAAAACAAAATCCCTTTACAAGGATCTAAATATCTATTTTTACTGTACTTAGACACACACACAAACACGTACACACCGTTCATATCTCCGAAAACATTAAATTAAATTTTTTTCCATATGGCTCACAACATCTGGTGATTAACAGTTAAATAAAATTAATGAGGCCTTCCATTTTTATTAGTCACATAGTCACCCACTGGTAGCAGTAGCTTTTTAAAAAAGATCTATGTTTTCTAATTCCTTTAAGTTACAAGTTGGCCTGGCTGACCTGACTTTGAACTATGCTCCTTTGTAGACGAGGGAAATGTATTTAACTTGCTATAAAAGAGCTAAACTTGCATCCTTCCCTCCTGTGTTTGCTGTAAATCAGAGGACTGTCTGCTTTGTGTTTACTTCTTTTTATTTCTTTTATGTTTATAATACTAAGTATTCTAATTTTGTGTGGCGTGTGTGTCTGTGTGTGTGTGTTATGTATGACAAGCTTGTTGTACGGTTCATGCTAATGACTTTCTTAGCCGTGGGGCATTTTATTGCGGTAACATCATGCTGAAATTGAGAAATAATTTATACTCCACCATGCCCTGGCAACATCCATTGCTACTAATATGGAAATAGTGTGGAATTGGACATTTTCTTGTGTCATATTGCTTAATAAATTATAAACATTATCCTATCAGATCTAACAGTGGTATATAAATGACAAAATAAATGACCATTTGCAATATCAGGTGACTTATGGTTCACCATGAATATTTATTATGATTTAATATGAATACTGAATATCCAGTATTAAAGGTTGTATATTTCATTACCAGTAAAATTAAAGGTGCTTTGGTGATTTTAACATTTAAAAGTCATAGAGTTTAATAGCCTCACTAGACTGAATCTTCATATTCTGAATGACTGATTTTAAAACTTCATAGGTTTCAAGAGGTGACTAGCAAACTCATTTCAACTGCATGAAACTACAAAGAAAATGAATCCTTAGACACCATCAGACTATTTATCAAAGCAGATGAATAAGAACATTTTCACACTCACTAGTCCAAATGAAATAATTGCTGAATAAATATGTTTTATCTTAATACAGCACTTTAAAATATTATATTGATTATTTTCCCTACTTTTACAATTCTTCCTTCTCCATTTAAATGTTATTTAATGATTACCAGCATCCAATGAGAAAACATTGGCCCTGAGGAGATAAGCAACTTATTCAAGGTTATGTATCTGGGTGGTAGCACTCTGAAATTTAGCTTTCTAGATGCCTTTCATATGCATGCTGTACTTCCATTGCATTGAAAGAAGAAATAGAGTTGTCAATGTTGCAAGTCTCTTAGACCTGGGAATTTGATCAATTTTTAAGTTACTTATATGTGTTCATGAGATGCTTCATATAATCATAATAAACAACTAAAAAGTCCTTACAGCTAAAAAACAACTAAAAATACTTTTTATGTTTAATATTTCCTAAATTCTTAGAACCACTCTATAAAGTAGATATTGATACTCTCATTTTTCTGATGAGGAAAGTTTAACTCAGAGCAGTTTAATAAATTGTTTATATTCAGGCAGCAAGTAAATAGTAGTGCTATGACTCAATCATAGGATCAGATCATTGGTTACAGATGTGGCACTCTACTGCATCATTTTTGCCTTTTAATCCAGTGCCATTAATCCATTTAGTGTTCATATTTACCTTGGGAGACTATAAAAATAATTTGAGTCTCTTGCCATATGTCCTTGATTCTTGAGTTAGACCTGTTGGTCAAGAGTTCTAGGGAATAGAAGTATCTACGGAAGTATAAAAATTCATCCTGGGTTGCGGAGTGTATACTTTGACTGAAGCTGCAGAAAAAGCTGAGGGAATTGCAAGGAAGTGATGCTTGGTGATTGTCCACATTTGCTTTCTTAAATTGTAAAGATGGAATATGGTAGTGAAAAGAGCTGTGTAAGCTACAAATGGCAACTGGGGCTTTTTGCAATGATACAGTTAGGCATAGGAAGGCAGAGGGGGAGGGTGAATGTTAAGATTAACTTGTGGCAGAAATGGGAGTAGAAAATTTATGTTCTGCCTCCTTTAAAAAGAATTTTAAAGAGAAAACAATTCTGCATCTATATTATTGTTCACTGGAATTTGAGTGCCAGAAATTATGGGTTGGGTCATCAGCCAAGGATGAGATGATTTGAGGGCTGGTGTTTCTGCAATCTATCCAGTGGATCACAAGCTACCATAACATTTAGAGGCTTTAAACAAAACGTTTACTTATTTAAAAGTTTCTGTGGGTCAAGAATTCTGCTGCAATTTAATGGGTAGTTCTAGTTCAGGTTCTCCAATGAGGCTGCAGTTGAAATGCTGGCTGGAGCTGCAGTCATATCAAGGCTTGACTAAGGATGGAGGATCTCCAACATGGCTCACTTACATGGTTGTTGGCTGGAGGCCTCAATTTCTTGCTATATGAGCCTTGCCATAGAGCTACATGAGTATTCTCATGACAGGGTAGTTGGTTTCCCCAGCATAGAGATCTAAGAATGATGTCCAGGAAGAGGCTGCAGTGCCTTTTATTACCTGGTTTGAGAAATCAGGCACTGTCACTCCTACTTCATTTGATGCTTTAGAAGCCTGGTCCATACACAAGGGGAGGGGAATTAGGCTTTACTTTTTGAAGGGAAGATGGAAAAGGAATTTGTAGACATATTTTCAACCACTGCAGATAGGTTAGACATCATGAGTGTATGCCATTTAATTCTTACAATTAGAAGGGGCTTCAGATAGCACCATATCCCAAACCCTCATTTGACCTAAACTAAAATTGAGACTGGTGGTATTTCAATGATATCACCAAAACACATTACTTGCTAGTGGCAGAGATATGGCAAGATTCCTAATTTGTCTGGGTAGTGCTCTTTCTTTTTCCAACCAAATATATAAACTTTAAAAAATATATTTTATCTATTCTTTCTATGCATTTGGAATAAAGTGATAGTTGACTAAACTAGTTTTAAGAAGACCTAGGAAAAACTTAATTATAAGTCTCTATGGTTAGATAGCCAGGCTAATGCAGCCAGAATGAGGAGCAACAATACAACATCTCTTCTTCCTAGTTCTATGAAGTGAACAGGCATCCAACAAGGCTGATGGCACAGAAGATGGTCCTAAGACAGACAAGCAAACAAAACTTGCCTTCTCTGTGGAAGCACTTCCTGACTTCGCTTCCCCAACAAGTAAGCCTTACTTCTGTTACAGGACTTTGAACACTTCATATCACCAACTTTTTTACATGTCTGCTTCCTCTACCTTACAGGACCTGGCTATGTCTTATTCATTCTTCTATTCCCAGTATCCTAGTTCATCATATGCACAGTGATAACGTATAACAATGAGAAGATTATTTTATGGAATTACTGAGTGCATCTGTTATTTTAAAAATTGACATAAATCTCACACTTTTTAGTGTGAGGCAAGTTTTTGTTTGTTTGTTATAGGACCATCTATTGTGTAATGAGATATTCTACAACTTTCAGCCAGACTATACATTTTTAAAAGATTTGGGACAAGTTCACATATAGAAATCAAATAATATTTTGTTTATTGACTTTTCTCTCTGTGGCATCTCTTGCTCTGTTGAATGGCGACCACCTGACAATCTATTCTAAGTCCTCTTGTGTACCTGGGAGGAACAAACCTTGTACTGCAGAAGAATATGTCACTACTTTTCACTCCACTAGGTGTCCTCTGTCAGTTATTCTTATCTATTTCCAGTAAGTTTTGCTTGGTTTCCATCCTCTTTATTTCTGATAGATATCACAAGCACATACATTTTAATAATTACATGTAATCACCCTTAAAAAAGTTGGTAAAGGCACAATTTATTTTGAATTAACTGAAAAGGTATAGGCAGGGCATGAGAGATGTTCAAACTTGAAAAGAAGTTTTTGGAATTATTAAAACTTTTTTTTTAATGGCATAGTTTCCCCAGAATAGTATATAATTGCTTTTGCTTTCTCCCCTTTATACCCAGTCTCTTTCCTTCCCATATTTATATATTTCTTTCTCTATAGATATAAAAGAGAAAAAAATGGCTGTTTAAACTGCACTGTATCTATTTCATGTTCTTGGCTTTGAAAACTGTCTTTCATGCTATGTGCTTTTCCAGAAATAGAAATAATTGGATACTGCTGTAAGTTAAAATGAAAAGTACATCTAAGTATTTCATAAGAGCAAAGGATGATTAATGTAGTAAGAAGTGGTTTTTCATGGGCAAGTAATGTGCAGTAAGTACTGCAAAACTTTTCAACAACAAAATACAAAACACAGTACTTTTCAACAACAGAACAACAAAAATGTGAAAAAGTTTTCACATTTGACTAATGGCAATTTTAGTTTACCGTCAAGAGATAAAATCCCCTCTTTTTAAAAGGAATCTCACTTATACACATTTACCATACCCTTACAACCTCATGGGCTATCTTTGACATAAACTATATTATGACTTCCTCTCTTTATTAATATTTCAGCCCTAGGGGCTAATATGAAAAATTTATTTTTATTCAATCTAGAACTTCCTTAACTTTTTTGTTTCTTCATACTTTACATATTTAGAATATTATTTGCTAGGATCTGATCTTCCCACCTGAGAAACTTCTGTGCCAAGTTTTCCTCTTTGCTTCTAGTGCACCAGTCTGCTAATATTTGAAATGTGTTACTTTACATTACAAAAAGAGAAAAGTAAAGCATAACATTGTATTTGTTATTATATCTAAATACTAATAATTTCAGGGGTCATTTCTACATTTGGATTATATTGATATAAGGGCATTAAAATTATAGATATACTGGGATTAAAGATTCAGTGCAGAATAGCACCAAAGATATATTTCACATATACCATTGGTCAAATACACCTACCGTTTAGTTAATAGGTAAAGAATATTAAAGGATTGCTAGTTAGAATGTATAATACTCAGATGACTGTAGAAAAACAAAAGACTTGGACATTTTAAGGAAATTACTATCTAGTTAAGGTGATCTTCCAGGCGTGGTGGCTCACACCTGTAATCCCAGCACTTTGGGAGGCCGAGGCAGGTGGATCACCTGCAGTCAAGAGTTCAAGACCAGTTTGGCCAACATGGTGAAACCCCATCTCTACTAAAAATACAAAAATTAGCTGGGCATGGTGGCAGGTGTCTGTAGTCCCAGCAACTCAGGAGGCTGAGGCACAAGAATTGCTTGAACCTGGGAGGCAGATGTTGCAGTGAGCCGGTATTATGCCACTGCACTCCAGCTTGGGTGACAGAGTGGGACTCCATCTCAAAAAAAAAAAAAAAAAAGGGGATGTATTAAAATAAATGAAGAAGAAAATCTCCCATTAATCAATAAATCAAGAAGATCAAATGTAATACAATATGATCCCGTATCTAGGTCCAACATCACAAAAATACTTCTTGGATGGTGTAGGCCGTCATAAGAAGCCACAGTAGCTGGAGAAAAGACAGAAAGAGGAAAGATAAGAAAGAGATACAGGGAGGAAGAGAGAAAGAGAGAGACAGAGAATAAAGCTCAAGACAATTTAGACAACATTCAAAGGGATACGTTACAATGGGGTATTGGCAGTCATCTTTTTTCTTTCTGGACTACAGAGGTTTGGAGATGAGGGGAGCTGATGTTGAAAGGAACAAAGATCAGTTTTAAGAGGCTAATAAAGAGATTTTTGGAGGAAATTTTGGGGGACTATATATTATTATAAAACTATGTGTGATATTATAGCTAGGGTAGATATGAATATAGTACAGCAGAAGTCGTACTATGCAAGCCACATTGTAGACAATGAAGCCAGAGTTAAGAAGTTGGAGATTCAATCTGACAGATCTGTAACTAGAACAATGGGTTCAAAAACAAACAGAGAAGACAAGTAAATTAATAAGTACTGTAGTCCAGATAATCAGAGTGTGGAGAGTGAGTAAGCCAGAACACAATGCATAGATTGCCGGTAAATAGGTTTAGATTCATCCATTTTTAAAAAATGGTGTGGGAGCATTAAATATGTATATAGTAGATATGGAAAAATGATTCTCATAATAACTGACATTTCTGTTTCACAAGAAAATTATTTTACATTATATGTATATTTTACATAAATTATACATAGTCATTTAAAAAGCTCAAATAGTGCAAAAACAATATGGAGAATTGCCTGAAATCATCCTACCGTTAGAGAAAACCATATTCACCATTTGCTGATTATTTCTGTTAGTGCATGTCTTTACGCAAACACATGTGCCCATGCATACATAATATTATATAATTTATGTCATATGAAATATACTACTTTTGCAAAACTTTAATTTTTCAAGTTTTTTTTCCCTAAACTTTGTTCTTCCTGTTCTCTTTTCTTCTTTTCCTTTTTCCCGTCTCTAGGTTATCTATACCATAAAACTCATGCATATCTTTCCATGTATATCTCCATGCTCACAAAATCATATATATATGAGGTTTTATTTCGCTGTTCATTTTAAAAAACTGAAATTACATAATACAGCCAGCCCTTTATATCCATGGGTTGCACATCTGAGAATTCAACCAACCACAGATATATATTTTTAAAAAAATAACAATACAACAATAAAAATACAATACCACAACTATTTACATAGCTTTTACGTTGTAGTAGGTATTATAAGTAATCTAGAAATGATTTAAAGTATATGGGAGGATGTGCATAGGTTATGTACAAATGATATGCCATTTTATATAAGGGACTTGAGCATCTGTGGATTTTGCAGGGGGTCCTGAAACCAGTTTCCTGCGGAAACTGAGCAATGACTGTATACGTGTTTCTGCAACTTGATATTTTTGTTGAAATTCTTCTAATTGACGTTATGGGGCTCTAGTGCATTCTCTTTTATGGTTGTACAATACCCCATGGTAGGAATGTTCTGCAATCTACTCAACCATTTCCCTACTGAATATTATTCTCTTTGTTTCAGTCTTTCATCATGATAAAATCTGGAATAATCATTCTTACATACATAACTTACTAATGCTTTTATTTCTATGTAATGATTTCCCCAGAGTAGGATTACTGGGTTTGAAGACATGTGCCTTTTAAATTTTTAATAGACACTAGCAGGTGTCTTTCCAAAAAGCATACAATTCACATTTCTACCCTTTTTCCTACATCCCTGTTGGCAGTAGGTATTACTATTGTTTCATTTCTAGCAGTCTTATGGGTAAGCTGTTATTATTTTAATCTGCATTCTCTTAACTACTAGTAGCTGCCTGTTCATATTCTGGTCTATTTTTATTATATATCTGAGTATTAGTATTTAAATAAACATAATTTAATATCCTTTTGTATCATGAGAAATACATGTAATATGTGAAGGAAGATAAAATTGTTAAATATACTCTGTGTAATAACAAGCATCCCATAAACAGTTATGATATCATTTAATGCTAAGGCAATCAGGAAGACAATTCCAGTGCTACTCTACTGGGATCCAGGGAGCATAGATGAGTAACTTTGAGGGAATTCATTCCCTGGTAGAAAGCTGAACTCAAATAACATCTGTTCTATAGGGTATACACAATTTTAAAAATAATAATACGTGTTTGGGTCAGAGAGTTTAAGAGATAGAAGGAAGCAATTTTATGTGTTGAAGGTAAAGGTCATTGGTCCCAGCATACCAACACAAAATATGCAAATCCTGAGAGGGAAAGTGCAAAGGGAGATACACTAACCATTCCAGAGACATGGTTAACATGAAAGTCCATAAGGCAGAAACTAGGGAGAGAATGTACACATTCACATGCAGACAGTGGACATTTGTGCTAGAGGTATCTTTTGAATGCTCCACTCCCCAAGCATCTCTAAGTCTGCTGCAAAGCCAATGCTTTGCAGTATGGCTTCTGACAGTGAAATTTACCATGACCATCTGACTTCTCAACTCCAAGACTAGTAGATTATTTTGTTACCTTTTAGATGGCTATTTGCAAAGGAACTAAATGTTTTTAAGTCAAGTACTAGACTGAATTATTCTTATCAGTTCACATGTTTGACTTGCAACTATTATAGATTAATATATTTGTGTATTTTTAATTAATTCAAAGGTGAATTTTTCAAAAGCAGTTTGGCTGCCTGGCTTCTCCAAAAGTAACAAAATACCTTTCACACACCACAGATGAGAGCACTCGGGATTCCTTAAGCTTTGATAATTCAAATGTGTCTTAAAGGTATTGATTTTATACTCAACATGACAGAATTTTAAGCAAAGAGATTTTTAAAAAGCAATAATAAAAATAAGTTGAGTAGAATATTAAAAAACAAACAAAAAAACCCTTATACTACATGCTTTGACTAAAGTTTGAAAGCATGCCTTCACACACAGATCTCCTCGGCAAGGGTGGAATAAGCAAGACATTAAAAAAATGTTCTGGTTGATCATTGGATGCCTGCCCAAGTTATTTTGACACAAGAGTGCTCCATAGGTTTCAAAATAAAAACAAGAATTTAAGGGAAATAAATGCTAAGCAGAGAACTCAGTGGCTATGGCCATACGCTTCAGGAAATACAAAATCTACAGAATTAGTCCAGGAAAGTCATCAAACAAATAAGCAGCAACAGCAAGAGCAACAATATTAACAACAACAAAATGAGCAAGGAAAACCAGCTATTATCAGAGAGGGATCAGATACTAGAGTTATTGCAATGTTCTAACTGAAATGTCCAGTTTTCAACAAAATTTACAAGACATGAAGAAATAGGAAAGTATGCCACACACAGGGAAAAAGAAAACAGCCAACAGCATATATCCCTGGGGGAGCTCATATGTTGGAGCTAGAAAATGAAGATTTTTTTTTTTTTTTTTTTTTTTTTGAGACGGAGTCTTGCTCTGTCGCCCAGGCTGGAGTGCAGTGGCGCGATCTCGGCTCACTGCAAGCTCTGCCTCCCGGGTTCATGCCATTCTCCTGTCTCAGCCTCCCGAGTAGCTGGGACTACAGGTGCCTGCCACCACGCCCGGCTAATTTTTTATACTTTTAGTTGAGACAGGGTTTCACCGTGTTAACCAGGATGGTCTCGATCTCCTGACCTCAGGTGATCCGCCCACCTCGGCTTCCCAAACTGCTGGGATTACAGGTGTGAGCCACTGCGCCCGGCCAGAAAATGAAGACTTTAAATATGACCCAAGAACTAAAAAACTATGGTTAAATAATCATAAGAAAGTATGGTGACTATGGCTGGGCACGGTGGCTCATGCCTGTAATCCCAGCACTTTGGGAGGCCGAGGCGGGTGGATCACATGAGGTCGGGAGTTTCAGACCAGCCTAACCAACATGGATAAACCCCATCTCTACTAAAACTACAAAATTAGCTGGGCGTGATGGCACATGCCTATAATTCCAGCTACTTGGGAGGCTGAGGCAGGAGAATAGCTTGAACCTGGGAGGCGGAGGTTGCAGTGAGCCGAGATTGTGCCATCACACTCCAACCTGGGCAACAAGAGCAAAACTCCATCTCAAAAAAAAAAAAGAAAGAAAGAAAAGAAAGTATGATGATGACTATGTCCCACAAAATAAGAAATGTCAACTAAGATAGAAAATTTTTCTAATAAAAGAATCAAATAGAAATTGATTCTGGTGTTGAAAGTACAATAACAAATGAAAAATTCACTAGTGGGACTTCACAACAAATTTGACCTGGCAGAAGAAAGAATTGGTGAACTTGAAGAAAGATCAATGGAAATTATCCAGCCTAAGAAACAGAAAGACAATAAAAACAGTAAGAAAATGAAGATTTTCAGAGGTGTGTGCAACACCATTAAGCACATCAACATATGCTTAACAGGAGTCCCAGAAAGAGGGAGGAAAGATAAATGAGAAGAAAACTATATGAAGAAATGAAGGCTGAAAACTTCCCAAATTTGATGAAAACATTAATCTAGACATCCAAGATACTTAATAACCTCTAAATAGAATAACATTAAGAAAACCACACCAAGAAACATCACAGTCAAATTAATGATTACTAACAAAGAGAGAATCTCGCGAGCAGCAAGAGAAAAAGAACTTACATCATACAACGGACTTTCCATAAAATTAACAGGTGACTTATTAGAAACCACTGAAGCCAAAGGACAGTGGGATGACACCTTCAAACTGTTGAAAGAAAAAGACTTTCAGCCAAGAATTCTACATCCAGCAAAACTCTCCTTCAGAAATGAAAAAGAAACTAAGACATTCTCAGTCTTAGAAAATTAGAGAGAATTGGGCGGGCGCGATGGCTCATACCTGTAATCCCAGCACTTTGGGAAGCCAAGGCAGGTGGATCACAAGGTCAGGAGTTCAAGACCAGCCTGACCAACATAGTGAAACCCCACCTCTACTAAAAATACAAAAAAAATTAGCCAGACTTGGTGGCGTGTGCCTGTAATCAATCCCAGCTACTTGGGAGGCTGAGGTAGGGGAATTGCTTGAATCAGGAAGGTGGAGATTGCAGTGAGCCAAGATCACACTACTGCACTGCAGCCTGCGCAACAGAGCAAGACTCCATCTCAAAAAAAAAAAAAAAAAAAAAAAAAATTAGAGAGAATTTGTCACTAGTAGATTGGTGCCTTGAAAAATGCTAAATAGTAGTTCTAAACAGGATTCTTTAGACTGAAAAAAAGGATAGTAGATGGTAATTTGAATCAACATGAAGAAAAAAGGGAGCACTGGTAAAGGTAAATGCATAGGAAATATAAAAAACTATAAATATATTTTTGTTTGTATTTTTTTTATTTAAGAGCAACTGCATAAAGGAATAATTATAAAATTATGTTGATGGATTTAGTAAGTATAAATAGTGCATATGACAATAATAGCGCAAAGAATGTGGGAGGCTATGGAAGTATACTGGAACAAAGTTTCTGGAAATGATTGAAATCAAGCTGGTCTTAAACCAAACTAGATTATTTTAAGTTAAGATGTTAATTGCACTCTTGAAGACAACTACTATTGCCATTGCATTCATGGATCAAAGGACCAAAGGGCAGAAGTAAGGATGGCAGTGATTAAAATTACTTCACTTGCAAAACATATTATTCCCAATCTGAAGTGGGCTGTGCTAATTTAGTAAGTACCAGTTATTGGTCATATGTCATTTTTCAGGTTACTTAAACTGTCTTTGCATTGAGTATCTCAACTTTGAAATAACAATAGTAATTGTCATCATCATCATTATCATCATCATACATTCCTTATGTTGTTATGAAATAACAACAAATTATTATTATTTTGGAAATGTATATATGGGAAGAAGAGTGGATGGGTATATAAAAGTATGGAGTACATCAGATGTTTTTTCCTGCCTTCTCTACAGCCACTTCATCTCTTTAACAGCACTCTGAAGTCCTTCTAAAGAGTTACTTCTTTCCCACTGAATAGAGTCTGCTGGGACAATCAGGTACTCTTCACTCCCCTAGGCTATTGGATGCTCCTGCCCTGGAATTCAAAACTTGAGAAAAGGGTAGAGATCAAAAATAGTTGGAGTTTATTTCTTCCAAGAGCAGTACCTAATCTGTTACTGCTGTGACCACTCCTGTAGTTCCTGCTTCCTGATCCTCTGGAGCTGCTTTAGTTCTAGTCCTCCTGCCTTTCTGCTGACTCTGTGGTTCCTAATACTCTCCCAGTAAATTCCAATTGACTAATGTTAACCCAAGTTGGTTTCTGTTCTTTGCAAAGAAGAAAAAACCAAAAGCAATAACCATACTGCACTGAGTTCTACAGAAACAGATGCTGAGATGGAGTTTGAACATCAAGGCATTTATTAGGGATAAATATCTGTAAAAGGGAAGGGGAGTAAGAAGAATTGGGCAGAGGGAAAGTCAAACCAGGATGCAGGCCGGTCAACCCCATGGGGAACTCTGTTACACATAATGCCTGTCAAGTTGTTTTTGGTTGACTGAAACAGTCAGACCTTTATGCTATCTCTTGGTTAGTCACTGGATATGAAGAGCTCCAAGACTAATGAATGTGCCCATGTGGGAGGTGGCTTTTGGGAACTCCTGAAGGAGCTGATAGCTGGAGGTCATCTGATGAAAACTGGGACAATGAGTTCTTCCTTGTAGAGGAATCTGATTGGCACATCTCTGGGCCCACCAGTCTACATCTTGCACCATTCAGATTCAATTATTTATTTCTAATCTTTCTAGAGTTCTGGTTGGCCTCTCTTCTTGGGGGAAACTGGGAAGAGAAAAGTTAAACTATAGCTCTTACTATAAACTATAGCTCTTATAGGGGTATAGCTCTTATAGGGCTATAGCTCTTTATAGGGTTAAACTATAGCTCTTACTACTGTAGGTGATCTTGGAGGCACAACTGGCAATCATTACTTTTCTTTAACATTCTTCATTTTAAACTCCTCTCATCCTCAGCTACCACCTCTGCTGGTCTTGATGGCAGTGCCTTATCTTGATATCCTGGCTTACCATGCCAAAGGGGTCTGAGCCTCTTTCTGATCACCATGGCATTTTGGGGTCAGGATTGCCATACTTATCCATTTACTATCATAACTTGGCAAGGCAGTACCAAGAGGCACCTAAGTGGATCTGAGTGTCACCTGAATTTCTCCCTGCCAGCATTGTGTAACAGTAGCTTGAACTCCTCCTGACAATCATGGTCAATTACCACTGACAAGTGGTGACTCTTTTCCTCGTCTTCTCATTCTTGGACACAAGGAGGTCAAAACACCAAGGCAGCAGCCATTCCTTATTATTTACTGGGACTCTTGCTATGGCCAATGGAGAAACCATGCTCACGTTGGGCACTAGGACCACGAACTTTGTAGATCCCAAAGTCATGGGAATGGGAACCAGAAAATCTCCCAGAGGGATGGGATTTGAGGAAGTACAATGATGTATTTTCCATTTCCATCTTCATGTGTTTGATATAAACTACCAATGCAAGGGAATAAAAATGCAAGATTATACTCATATCCACATTATGCTTGTTTTCATATTCACATAGGAAATTGTTGTGCACCTGTTTTTATTGCTTAACTTGAAATAACTAATTAAAAATGCACAGTGTTGGTCATGAGGATAAGGGAAAGATTAGGGTAGAAAAAATTGGGATTTTGAGTGCTCTGTTTTTACATTTTATACATATTTTGGGTATACAAAATAAAATCCAACTCCCTTGTCCCTTTGTAACACATATGCACATATTTGTTTATGGAAAACAGTCTGTAAATTTATTAAATTTGCATTTTTATTTGGTAGGTCAGGAGGTTGCTGAAAATAGTATGTATGCATCCATTACACAGACAGAAAGGAAAAAGAAAGTTAAGAATATGTAAAACATTAATGCTAAGCACAATGACCGTTGTACCTACTATATTTATTTCTAACCTAATCTCACCAGGAGGTCTTCAGGGAAGGCATTTTTAATAGTAATTTTGCTGATGAAGAAATTGGTGCTCAGAGAAAGAGAAGGTGGGTAACTTGACTAAGGTCATGTGATTTGCAAGTGTAAATAGATATTAAAATGGGACTTATTCCATCTCAGGTAGGCCACAAATAACATATGTTAGATATGCTAAGAGATTGTAAAATGGGTTCTTGAAGCAATATCTCATACAAGAATGGCACCCAACCAGTTGAGAAAGAAGGTTCTCTTGAAAAGAGTAAATGATGGGAGTAGGGAGGGCATTTTCCCTCACCTTAAGCCAGGGTAGGGCCCTAACCAGGAGGTGCAAAGTGGAATAGCATCCCCGGGACTGAGGAGAAGTCATTATCAGTGAGCCAAAGAATACTGCCATAAAAATTGCAACGTTTCAATGCCAGATGGCAACACGTAAAACAGACATGAATTCTTTCTTCATTTGGGATAACAACTGAGGAGTGGGAAATGGCAAATAATACACAATGCTAGAGCTGGCAGGATAAAGAAAGTTCTTCCTCTAGGACCAGGCCCTACTCTCCCACTCTGGCTTCTCAGCCTGAAGGAGCATGAAACTTGGGGAACAGATAACTCTAAGTGGATTAAGGGTTTGGTGTTACCAGCAGTTAGTTAGGCCAAACTAGAGGTTAAAGAGATTGAGGTTATGGTCTTCCAGGTGGCCAAGTCCACCTAAGACCATTGACAGTAACTGTGAAGAGTTTACCAAACTACAAAGTCAGACAGAATAATACCCACAAGACTGCCTTCGTTTCAGACACCAGCTGCAAATTCAAGGGTCCCTGGGGCCACCCTTGCTTCTAACCAGCTGGTTATAAATCCAATAATGTCCACGGGCTCCCTCAGGTTTGATAATTCAGTAGAATGACTCACAGAACTCAGGAAAGTGCTATACCTATAATTACAGTTTTATTACAACAGAAGGATACAAATTAGAATCAGCCGAAGGAAGAGATGCCAAGTGCTGACTCTGGGACTGGTATGGTTCCAACCTTGAAGCTCCCAGCATCATTGATGTGTGCCAACCAAGAAAGCTCAACTGGACACAGACCCCCTGAAGGAAGCAGACTGCTCCTGCAGGACTCAGGAGGCCCACCCCGCCGACCCAAAACTGTGCATGCCCCAACTGCAGAAGTGGGAAAGGGAGACCCTCCTCTCCTGAACACACACCCCCCACTGGAGAAGCTGAAGGTCTGTTTGCAGGAGAAGTTTCTGAATTTATGTGGAGCTGGGTCAATTTGGAGAGCTGAGTGAAATACAGGGGTAGAGGAAGCAGCAGAAAGGCTCTGGAAGCTCACTGTGTCCCCTAGCAGCCCATTCCTGCCTGGCACCACAGGGATCCATTGAGTGAGTGACCAGAGGAGAAAGGGCCAAAACTCCATAGGGAGAAGGAAATCTCTAGCTGAACTTTGTAACAATTTGAATAGGGTGAGAAGCCTCCTGGCCAGAACTGGGAGGAGGGTGCAAATCAGGTGTGCAGACTCCACCGTGGGGAAAGAACTAAGCCCTTTTCTTTCCCAGCTGGGAGGCAGGTAGCCTGGGGCAGGTTTTCAAGCCCATATTGCTCTCCACCTGGAAACGGTCTGGGGGCGGTTGTTAGGGGCACGGTGGAAGTGAGACCAGCCCTTCGGTTTATGTGGGAGCTGGGTGAGGCATGTGACTGCCAGCTTTCCCCCAACTTCCCTGACAACCTGCATGACTCAGCAGATGCAGCCATAATCCTCCTAGGTACACAACTCCAGTGACCTGGGAATCTCACCCCCATGCCCCACAGCAGCTGCAGCAAGACCAGCCCAAGGAGAGTCTGAGCTCAGACAAACATAGCCCACCCCCACCTGATAGTTCTTCGCTACCCACCCTGGTAGCGGAAGACAAAAGGCATAAAATCTTGGGAGTTTTAGGGCCCCGCCCACCACTGGTTTCTCCCCATAATACCACAGCTGATGCTCTGTGGAAAGTGCCACCTCCTGGCAGGAGGCCAAACAGCACAAAAATAGGACATTAAACCACCAAAGCTAAGAACCCTCACGATGGAGTCCATTGCAGCCCCCACCACCTCCAATGGAACAGGTGCTGGTATCCATGGCTGAGAGACCCATGGACTATTCATATCACAGGACTCTGTGCATACAACCCCCAGTACCAGCCCAGAGGAGGGTAGACTTACTGGGTGGCTAGACCCAGAAGAGAGACAACAATCACTGCACTTTGGCTCACAGGAAACCACATCCATAGGAAAAGGCAGAGAGTAATACATCAAGGGAACACCCTGTGAGACAAGAGAATCTGAACAACAGCTTTCAGCCCTAGACCTTCCCTCTGACAGAGGCTACCCAAATGAGAAGGAACCAGAAAATCAACCCTGGTAATATGACAAAACAAGGCTCTTCAACACCCCCAAAATATCACACTAGTTCACCAGCAATGGATTCAAACCAAAAAGAATCCCTGATTTACCTGAAAAAGAATTCAGGAAGTTAGTTATTAAGCTAATCAGGGAGGGACCAGAGAAAGGCAAAGCCCAATGCAAGGAAATCTAAAATATGATACAAGAAGTCAAGGGAGAAATATTCAAGGAAATAGATAGCTTAAAGGAAAAACAAAAATTCAGAAATCTTTGGACACACTTTTAGAAATGCAAAATGCTCTGGAAAGTCTCAGCAATAGAACTGAACAAGTAGAAGAAAGAAATTTAGAGCTTGAAGACAAGGTCTTTGAATTAACACAATCCAACAAAGACAAAGAAAAAAGAATAAGAAAATATGAACAAAGCCTTGAAGAAGTCTGGTATTATGTTAAATGACCAAAGCTAAGAATAATCGGTGTTAATGAGGAAGAAGAGAACTCTAAAAGCTTGGAAAACATATTTGGGGGAATAATCGAGGAAGACTTCCCCAGCCTTGCTAGAGACCTAGACATCCAAATGAAAGAAGCACAAAGAACACCTGAGAAATTCATCACAAAAATATCTTTGCCTAGACACATTGTCATCAGGTTATCCAAAAGAATCTTAAGAGCTGTGAGACAGAAGCACCATAAACTATAAAGGAAAACCTATCAGATAAACAGCAGATTTCTCAGCAGAAACCCCACAAACTAGAAGGGAGTGGGGCCCTATCTTCAGCTTCTTCAAACAGAACAATTATCAGCCAAGAATTTTGTATCCAGCGAAACTAAGCATCATATATGAAGGAAAGATACAGTCTTTTCCAGACAAACAAATGCTGAGAGAATTCGCCATTACTGAGCCACCACTACAAGAACTGTTAAAAAGAGCTCTAAATCTTGAAACAAATCCTAGAAGCACATCAAAATGGAACCTATTTAAAGCATAAATCACACAGGACCTATAAAACAAAAATACAAGTTAAAAATCAAAAACAAAAAAAAACCAATGTACACAGGCAACAAAAAGCATGATGAAAGCAACAGTACCTCACATCTCAAAACTAACATTGAATGTAAATGGCCTAAATGCACCACTTAAAAGATACAGAACTGCAGAATGGATAAGCACTCACTAGCCAACTACCTGCTGCCTTCAGGAGAGTCACCTAGCACATAAGGACTCACATAAACTTAAAGTCAGGGGATGGAAAAAGGTATTTCATGCAAATGGACAACAAAAGTCATCAGGGGTAGCTTTTCTTATATCAGACAAAACAAACTCTAAAGCAACAGCAGTTAAAAGAGACAAAGAGGGTCATTATATAATGGTGACAGGCCTTGTCCAACAGGAAAATATCACAATTCTAAAATATATGCACCTAACACTGGAGCTCTCAAACTCATAACACAATTACTAATAGACCTAAGAAATGAGATGGACAGCAACACAATAATAGTGAGGGACTTCAGTACTCCACTGCCAGCACTAGACAGGTCATCAACACAGAAAATCAACAAAGAAACAATGGATTTAAACTATACCTTGGAACAAATGGACTTAACAGATACATACAGAACATTTCATCCAACTGCTGCAGAATACACATTCTATTCAACAACACATGGAACTTTCTCCAAGGCAGACCATATGATAGGCCATAAAACAAGCCTCAATAAATTTCAGAAAATTGAAATTATATCAAGCACTCTCTCAGACTACAGTGGAATAAAACTGGAAATCAACTCCAAAAGGAATCTTCAAAATCATGCAAATACATGGAAATTAAATAACCTGCTCCTAAATAAGCATTGGGTCAAAAATGAAATCAAGATGGAAATTAAAAAGCTCTTCAAACTGAACAGTAATAATGACACAACCTATCAAAACCTTTTAGATACAGCAAAGGCAGTGTTAAGAGGAAAGTTCATAGCCCTAACTGCCTACAACGAAAAGACTGAAAGAGCACAAACTGACATTCTAAGGTCACACCTCAAGGAACTAGAGAGACATGAACAAACCAAACCCAAACCCAGAAGAAGAAAGGAAATAACCAAGATCAGAGCAGAACTAAATGAAATTGAAACAAAAAAAATTACAAAAGATAAATGAAACAAAAAACTGGTTCTTTGAAAAGATAAATAAAATTGATAGATCATTGACAAGATTAACCAAGAGAAGAAGAGATAAAAATCCAAATAACCTCATTAAGAAACAAAACAGGAGATATTACAACTGACACCACTGAAATACAAAAGATCATTCAAGGCTACTATGAACACCTTTACACACATAAACTAGAAAACCTAGAAGAGATGTATAAGTTCCTGGAAAAATACAACCCTCCTAGCATAAATCAGGAAGAATTAGATACCCTGAACAGACCAATAACAAGCAATGAAATTGAAATGGTAATTTTTAAATCACCAACAAAAAATTATTCAGGACCAGATGGATTCACAGCAGAATTCTACCAGACATTCAAAGAAGAATTGGTACCAATCCTTTTGACACTATTCCATAAGACAGAGAAAGAAGAAACCCTCCCTAATTCATTCTATGAAGCCAGCATCACCCTGATACCAAAACCAGGAAAGGACATAACCAAAAAAGAAAACTGCAGACTGATATCTTTGTTGAACACAGATGCCAAAATCCTTAGCAAAATACAGTGTGGAGATTCCTTAAAGAACTAAAGTAGAACTACCACTTGCTCCAGCAATCCCACTACTGGGTATCTGCCTGGAGGAAAATAAGTCATTATTCGAAAAAGATACCTTCACATGCATGTTTATAGTAGCGCAATTCACAACTGCAAAATTGTGGAACCAACCCAAATGCCCATCAATCAATAAGTGGACAAAGAAACTGTGGTGTATATATACAATGGAATACTATGCAGCCACTAAAAGGAATGAATTAACAGCATTTGCAGTGACCTGGATGAGACTGGAGACTATTATTTTAAGTGAAGTAACTCAGGAATGGAAAACCAAACATTGTATGTTCTCACCGATATGCAGGAGCTAAGCTCTGAGGACACAAAGGCATAAGAATGATGGAATGGACTTTGGAGACTTTGGGGGAAGAATGGGAGGGGGGTGAGGGATAGAAGACTACAAATATGGTGCAGTGTATACTGCTCGGGTGATGGGTGCACCAAAATCTCACAATCACCGCTAAAGAACTTACTCCTGTAACCAAATAACACTTGTACCCCAATAGCTTATGGAAAAAAAAAAAAAAGAAAGCTCAACTGACTTTGGTGTCTAGAGATTTTATCGAGTTTTCCTTATGTAAGGAGGATTGATGAAATCATGGCCTATGGCCCATGGCCCACATGGTTGAACTGCATCTCTAGCCTCCTCCCTCCAGAAGTCACACTTATATTGCCTGGTTCTATGTTCCAACCATCTAATCACATGGTTGTCTTTCTGGCATGGCCAGCCTTCATTTTAAGACTGTGGTTGTGGCCAGCTTCACCCTGAGTTATCTACTTAGCATAAACTATCAGGTGTGATCCAGGGCCTCACCATGAATAACAAAGACTTTCCTATCACTTGAAAAATTCCAAGGGTTTACAGATTACCTCTCAGGAAGGAGCTGGAGCTATGGCAAAGGTTAGATTTCTCTTTGGGTAAGATTAATCTTTCACTACATAGATATTATCCTTCTTTTAAGAGGTGGCACCTTCATGTTGAAATGTCATTCTTCATGTGAAATGTGACTAAAAGTGATTAAGAAATTCAAAGACAGGGAAAGAACTAGCCCAGTGAGAGGATTTGAAGGGTCAGTGGGAGAATGGATGGTTGCTTTTGATTATGTCCTCTTGAGTTCACTTCTTCATTACACCTGCTGTTTAAGAAAGGGAAGCATATTTTGAACCTGAGTTTGTACATTAAAGTCTAAAATCCAAACTCCTTTCATTATGCCATGTGGTGATATTTTATTTTTCTACAGAAATAAAGTTATAGTTTTAGATTCAGTAATGCATACAATTCCTTGTGCTTCATTTTTCTTATTCAGAATATAAAATGTTTATGAATACATTCGAAATGTTTCATTGTGTGGTTTTGTTTTTGTTTTTGTTTTTTCGAGACAGGGTCTTCCTAGAGTGCAGTGATGTGATCTTGGCTTACTGCAGCCTACATCTCCAGGCTCAAGTGATCCTCCCACCTCAGCTTCTCCAGGAGCTGGGACTACAGGCATGCACCACCACGCCAGGCTAATTTTTATTTTTTTATTTTTTGTAGGGATGGGGTTTTGCTGTGTTGCCCAGGCTGGTCTCTAACTCCTGGGCTCAAGTGATCCACCCGCCTCAGCCTTCCAAAGTTCTGGGATTACAGGCATGAGCCACAGTGCCGGCATGTGTAATTATTAACTGATTACAGGACACTACTGTTGTGCAAACTTCATAAATAATTCATAGGAGTTTCTTATGTTAAAAATAGAAAGACTAAATTAGCAATATGCCTCAATATAAACTACTTTAAAAGTCATTTTATGAAAATAAATTTAAAGAGAGAATAGTGTTAATACTGCAAGATAGACACAACCCTGTTTATATCGCTACATAGTCTGAATATCATCATTAGTGTAAATAAAAGTTGACTAGGTCAGAAAGCCAATTTGCAAGACAGATCTAATAAGCTGTAAGTTAGTAAACGCACCTCATCATGTAAAAAAAATCATAGACAATAGCCATGTGAGAAGTACACATTGTCTTCATGTGAGCAAAAGGAGTTGATAATGAAAAAGATTGCTTTCATTCGACATGTTCATATTTTGTTTTAGGAAAACATATGAGATATTAATTTTAATTAATGTGGGATAATTTGAAAACAATTTTTCAATTCAATTTAATAAGTAATTACTAAATGTTATGCCTTCTTCCTTTGATAAACTGTCAATATTTCAAAGTAGAAGTTGTTATAAGTATGAATTTCATATTATAAAAAACAATGGAGTAGAATTCTCTATAGGTCTTTTTTTCCATTGTAGTATTTAATTTTTTTAATTGACACATAATAATTGTATGTATTTATGGGGTACATAGGGATGTTGTGATACATATATAGTGATCAGATAAGGGTAATTAGCATATCCATAATCTCAAACATTTTAAATTTGTGTTAGAAACATTCAGTATCCTCCTTCTAGGTAATTGAAACTATATATTATTGTTAACTATAGTCATCCTATAGTGCTATAAAAAACTAGAACTTACTTCTCCCATCTAGCTATAATTTTGTACCCTTTACCACATCTTTCCCTGTCTTCCCCTTCCCCCGGCTCTTCCCAGTCTCTAGTGTCCTCTGTTCTAATTTTTACTTCTAAGAGATCAGCTTTTCTTAGCTTCCATATATGAGTGAGAACTTACAGTGTTTAACTTTCGGTCCCCGGCTTATTTCACTTAACATGATGTCCTCCAGTTCCATCCATGTTGCTGCATATGACAGGATTTCTTTCTTTTTTTTTTTATGTCTAAATAGTATTTCATTGTGTATGTATACCACATTTTCTTTTTCATTCATCTGTTGTTGGGCACCTAGGTTAAATCCTTATCTTGGCTATTGTGAATAGTGCTGCAATAAACATAGGGGTGCAGATGTCTCTGTAATATGATTTCCTTTATTTTGGATAAATGCCCAGTGGCGAGATTGCTGAATTCTTAGAAAAGTCTTGTGTTGACTTGCCCATGAATGGGACAGCAGGTGGCAAGGCTATACCTTTAACTGACCCATGAAGAATGTTTATTCTAAGGAAAACCCGGAGGTTGATTTTAATCTGTCTTACTGCAGTATTCCACCTGCAGCTTCCTTTCCACATCTCCTCTAGCCATGTCCTCTGCTTTTGCTTCAAGTCCAGTGGTTTCAGGCTGTCCCTAAGCCCAAGGATCTCTCTCTTTTGAATGTCCCTGTTCAGGGGCCACCATTCTGAGGATACTTCCTGTCTGTGTTCCTTCTTTAAGATATTTGCCTGTTTTCAGTGCATTGGGCTCTGAGAATTAGGCTTATTGGTACAAATTGGTGAAAGTGCTTATCCATTCCAGGTACCTGTTTGAATTTTAGCAAAGACAGTATTAGAGTGAGTCTAAATGCAGGAAGCTTCAGGTACGGGAGCAGAATTCTTACATAAAGCAGAATTACCTTTTCTACTTGGAACTTACTTATTTCCTACTCATCTGAGTAGCTTTGTGAGGCAGAGTTTAAAAGGTTGGCTGTTGTCTGAGTTTACAGCTTCATCTCTTATTAGCTATGTGACCTCATGAAAATTATTTAAGCTTGTTATGCTTAATAAGGTTACCTATATCATAGGTTTGTGGTAAGGATTAAACAAGATAATATACGTAAAGTGCTTCTCTTGGTATCTCCCACACAGTAAATGCTCAATAAAGGTTAGCTGTTGTCATTTCTATTTATGTATCATCTTGAAGCACTTGGGAATACTAATGAATAGAACAGAATTCAGTCTTACTTTTTAAGTTCAAGAAATACCTATGTTGTTCTGGTTCAACTAGCAAAGGTTAAATAATTACTAGATTGGAGCTGCTTGAAGAAGCATGTGACTCATGTTTTCTGGTCTGGTAGCCAGGAGTTTGGCTGCAGGTTTTTCTTATTAGCCGCTGCAAATTGTGCTGTGCGTAATATGATGGGGCCCATGCTGATTTGGATGCTTAGTGTGTGCTTGTGCACGTGAAGGGAATAATGCTGTCTTCTCTAAGATGAAAGGCAAAATTAGCTTTTGCATTGGAGTTTGCATTATAAAGAATAGTACAACTGTTCACCCTGCCTCTTATTCCAGGCATATGTTAAGTGGGTGATTAAATATCTCTATTTCTAGTCCTAGTGCAATTTTTAATGTCTATTCTTTTCTTCACATAGTTCAAGTTGTGAGAGTCATATGTTTACCTTAAAATGTAAACAATGATTAATTACTTGCCAGTAAATGTACTGTGGTAATAGAAATACAATAAATGCAAATTAATGCTGGTTATTCACTTTATGCCTAATCTAATGGTGTTGAAAAGGCTAAATTCGCAGGCCTTGTTGCTTACCTTCATAGAATTTACATATAGTGTTCCTGAAAAAGCACTTATAAAGTATACATTTTTTTCTCTTTTAATTTTCCGTAAATTTAATGATGGCTGCCTGAAAAAAAAATGTATACTATTCTGGCACAGAAGTTACCACTGAAATGAGTAGAAATGAAGATTTTTGAAACTGGATATTAGGTTCTTGAGCCATTTTGTTGCCCTGTTACCTAAAAGGGTACCCTGTTCCTAGTGAGGCAAATAAAAATATCTGTTTATTATGATGATGATGTACCACTCAATAGCTATTTTCAGGTTGGTTGATTGATACAGCTCTGACCCTTATGAAATTCCTTAGCAATAGAGCCCAGAGCACGGCTTGACTCCCTCCTGGGAGCTGTGGTTATTAGGAACAGCGGCTCTTTTCAGTTCAGTTGCTAAATATTTCATCTACTTTCAGAAAATCAGACTAGAACACAGTTCACTGCTCTTCAAGCAGTATAGGCTCTTACCATGCCTTCAGGGATGCTAAACTGCTACTGCTGTGGGGATTGTGGCATTTCAAAGGGATATTAAGACATAACATATTACATTATATGGTAGCAATGGGCCACTTCTCATTTCTTTTTTAAATAAAAAGAATGTGAAAGTGAAGAAAATGTGAGTATATCCCTAGAAGTAAAACTATATCTTTCTGATAAAATATCCCTAGTAAATTCAGAATGAGGAAAAGATGAATGTTTTGGCACTCTGGATAAATGGCTAATCTTTGTGAAAAACCTAATTATGGCAACCTAATGAAATACATTTGTAATACCAGGTAGACAAAGCCAATGAGATTTATATCAGATTTTCTCACCCTGATTCAGCAGAAGAAAAATATTAGTTCTGCTTGTGACTCTGGTTCCATTCCAGCACTTGGTAGATACTATTGGTTTCTGTTCTAAGAACTATGCAGGTTTATCTTGTGATAAAGAGAAGTAGACACAGCTATAACAAAACAAAAGGTAAAACACAACTACTCCCACAGGTCTGTTTTCCTGTGTTTTCATTTTTGTAGAATTTCTGCAGTGGAACTCTATTTTGTCTTCACTAAAGATCAGTCCTCCTGTAGGCAACGTCTACTGCTATCTAATGATCCATGTACTCTTTTAAGATGTCTCTCCTTTTTGCTGAATTGAAGCAATCCTTTCAGGATGAACAATTTTTATTTTATATGACTTAACTTCATTTGCTTCTAACTTTGAATTTACGTAATATTTCTTGTGAACAAAATCATCACACTGAAAAGGGTAGAAACCATTTTGGGAGGGCCCTCAAGTGTAGAGCAAGTTCTCCCACATCAGGCTCTGCTCACTCCTTTCTTTTCTCTCTTTAGGGACTTCAGCCTGG
Organism: Homo sapiens; assembly: GCF_000001405.40. Taxonomy (NCBI): domain Eukaryota; kingdom Metazoa; phylum Chordata; class Mammalia; order Primates; family Hominidae; genus Homo; species Homo sapiens. The sequence continues at coordinate 89,619,294 of NC_000004.12, forward strand.
GCTTTTTCTAAATGATTGGCTTTCATTACTTAAAGGGTCAAAGAGATGCCTCTTCTCATCACCGCCAGAAAAGCTTCTGCTCTGTGCTCACAGCTTTCATTTCTTTGAAGCCTCTGTGCACTGTTTCCACTTGACCAAAACCACAGGGAGTTCAATTATCAAAGAATCACTCCCTTCTGAGAATTCTTAAAGAAAAACACTTCCATTCTGAGATAAGACAGCAAATGCAATAAGTTCCCCATTCACTGTGTAGGATGCTAAACAATGTCAAATTGAATTCTCTGTAGTGGGAAGTTTGGAGTGGATTTTTTTCAGCTACAGAATGGTCAGGGCACATCCATATAATGTCAGTGGGGGCAATATTGCTAATCCATCCTTGTGTCACCTCTGGGACAATTCTGAATGCCAGAATGACTTCTTCCTCTGCCCAGGACATTATTGAGCCACTCTCATGGCTCTGCATTGGCACACTCCAATGCTTCCTGTCAGCAGGGCTAATGTCTTATTAAAAAGGGGTGAGTGGAGGAGGGTGTATCTTGTGATGCAGCATACCATAGTTGTTAAGATCAACACTTATTGAAAAAAATATGCTTTGAAATGACACTTGGGGATCTTCTTTACTAATACAGAGATTTATATTTCAATAGAATTTTGAAAATTAAAGAAGAAAAAGACACTATGATTTGTTCAAGGTCCATTATATGTCAGGCATTTGTTGTCTCATTTAATCATAACCACAGTCCTGTAAGGTAGATATTTGTGTTTCACTCTTTATGAAGGAGAAAAGGGCTCCAATGAACTAAAAACCTTGCCCAATATCACAAGAATCAGTGTTTGAACCCAGGACTCCCAGATTACTCATTCTGTGTGCATTTCACTGACCTGCTCACTTACACTAACATTTTAGTGGTAGGAAAATAAATCTGTCTTATAAAATCTAGACATTACAAAACCAGATTCTTGGTTACTGTATGCAGATCTGAAAATACAAGAACCCAAAATCTGTAGGTGAGAGTACTATGTTTATTGTTCTGTGAAGAATACAATTAAAGTTGAGGACACAGACCAAAGAGTAAAGTTGATTCTCAGGATATTCCCAGGAGTGTGGCTAAATAATAAATGAGAATCACTTCTTTGATTTTTTTTTTAGGAAATATGGCTATGTGTTTAATGTTCTAATTTAGTACTTAGAATAAGAGTACGCATATACACACACATGCACACACATACACTTTAAAGGGACACAACATATAGAATGTTGTCCATTCCAGTATCTCCAAACTCCAACTCAAAATGAGTTGTAGCTATGAATGTGGAGTCTAAATTCTGCCTATTGGATCATCCTGATGCCAGCATTTACTAGACGAATGACTTTGGGAAAATTATATAGGCATCTTACCATGGGTTTTCTCTTGTATTAAACCATTACTATGGTTTTCTTGTCGCATTAATAGTAATGCAAAAACCACAATTACCTTTGCACAAACCTAATATGAAGTAGAGGTAAAAATATCTAACTCATGTGGATGTATATCAGATAGAATGCATGTGTTTTGAACAACAGAAATCTCAACTAAAAATGATAATTTTACCCTCATGGAACTGAATATTCCAACAATTGATCTGGTTTGAGGTGTGGTTTCACTCAGGACTCAAACAAGGTCATCAGAATCCACTTCCAGAATCTGGTTCCTTTCCATTTTGGCTCCAAAAACAGGCATACAGTGGGCTTCTGGCAAATATTAACTACAGCAGTTTCAAGCTCCAAATCCTTATGTCCAGTGAAGAACATGTGAATCTATGCACTAGAATTTCCAGAGCAAATATTAAGGCTCATTCTTATTCAACTAGCTTACATTATATACTTATCCCTAAATCAATTACTGTGACCAGTTGATAAGATACTCTGGTTTTAGCTATAACATTCTTAATAGAGGACTGGGCTGAATAGCATATAGAGGGTATTTAAACTTATAGGTTTGGATACAATCACTATGGAAGTGTAGTGTCAAACCAAATAACAGACAAAAGAAGCTCTTTAAAAGAAAATAATATTTATTTGGATATGAGCATCGAAATGGGAATGTGTGTGCCATAGTAAACTATGTGGGTATTCTGGGTGATAAAGACAAAGTTTAAAAAAAATAAGGAAGATTGCATAATTGTTTTGAGATAATTATCCTGGACTACAAGGATCAATAATAACAAGGGTTGTGCCAGTTGGAGATTGGACAGGCAGTTGCTGGGCAGATATTCTTGCAGAAATATTTTTTGTGTAAGGTTGAGATGGCCTTTGTGCAAGGTTGTCATTTTTAAGTCTTTTGTGATAGTTCTTATTATCAGACATTCATGCATGAGAAGCCTCTCTTCATGGCTTTCCCCAGCTTCATTTGTCAGAGCTTTTAACACAAGTGATTCCATTTTGATTCTGACAACTTTCATAGTAGATAGAGAAGAAAGAAGGCCCAGAATTTGAGAATTATAACAATTTAATATTAAAAGGTTGAGAGAAGAAAAACCACAAGAGGAAACCAAGAAAGAGTAATCAATGAGGTAGGATAAAAACCAAGAGGAAATGTTATCCTCAAAGCCAATTCAATCACTTATAGGAGGACAGAATGACTAACTGACTGAAATACTACTGATACATTAAGCAAGAGCAGGACCTACATCTAAGAAGTAACGAGATCCTTGATGACTTTGATAACAATGATTTCTGTGATGTGGTGCGAGCAAATGTCTGATTGCCATGGGTTTATAGAAAAGAGAGGAGAGAAACTGGAAAAATAGAACTTTCAAGAGGTTTGTTGCAAAAAAGGGGCAAAGAAACGGGAGCTGGTGAAATGGGTGGAGTAATGAAAAGTTTTCTCTAAGATGAGATAAGTAACATTATATTTCAATGATGGTAAGAATATTTGGTAATGACTAAAAAGTTATTGATGAAGGAGGGAGGGGAAAACTACTAAAGTGACATCCTAAAGGAGGTGAGAGGAGATGGGATGCAGTAGAGGGATGGGCTTTGGATAGAAGCATGGACAGGTCACCTGAAGTAGCTGGATAGAAGGGTGGGTGGCAGGTCCTGATAGGTAGGTGGCTAGATGTCATGGTGGGAATCTGGTGAAGGCGCCTATGGTTGCTCCAGGTTTCTTTGTGAAGTAAGAAGAAAGGTCATAAGCTGAGAGTGAGAATGGGGAAAGAGGTATTGGGGATTTTCAGAGAGGGGAGAAATCATAAAATGTATATATATTTTTTAGGACAATGGGAGACTGAATGGACACAGGGGATGTAGAAGATGATTATTGAGCAGCATTTTAAGGGCCTATAGGTAGCTATTTTCATGAATTTAAAATGAGATCTATCAGCTTACTTGTTTGTTTTTCCCCAGCTACATCTAATTTCTTAAGTACAGGCATAGCGTTAGAAAAGAGTTAGATTTACCCAGGGCTGTGGTATCAGCACTATAATGAAGTGGAAAAGAGGTGACTGAATCAGGGAGTGAGGGGATTTCATGTCACCTTTTTGGCTTAAACTTCTGACTTCTCTTACTAAAATTACTGCAACAATTTCCTAAATGACATCTTTGCCTTAACCCCGCTCCTATTACATTCCTTCTCAGCATTAGAGCCAGAATTATTTTTCTGAAGAACAAATGTGAGATTGCTGTCTTCTTTAAAACTCTTTAATAGTTACCCACTGTCATAAAGTCCAAAACTTCTTAACATAGTTTCTATGGACCTTTTTGATCTGGCCTTTGCTTAGTTTTTAAGCCCTATTTCTTTCCATTTCCTCTTCACATTCTTGAATTCAGCCAAAATTAATGGATTTTAATTCCATGCTCTTTCTAGCTTCTGGAACAATCTTCTCTTATGTTCACATTCTTTTCTTGGGTAACTCCCATTTGCCCTTCAGGACTCAGCTTAAAACATTGATTCATTGGCTGGGCACGGTGGCTCACGCCTGTAATCCCAGCACTTTGGAAGGCCGAGGCGGGCGGATCACAAGGTCAGGAGATCGAGACCATCCTGGCTAACACGGTGAAACCCCGTCTCTACTAAAAATACAAAAAATTAGCCGAGCGCGGTGGCGGGCGCCTGTAGTCCCAGCTGCTCAGGCGGCTGAGGCAGGAGAATGGCGTGAACCCGGGAGGCGGAGCTTGCAGTGAGCCGAGATAGGCCACTACAGTCCGGCCTGGGCGAAAGAGCGAGACTCCGTCTCTAAAAAACGAACAAACAAAAAACAAAACAAACAAACAAAAAAAACATTGATTCATCCAGGTGGTCTTCTCTGCAATCCCAAGACTGTTTGTGGTCCTCCATTCTTGTTGGCTTTTACTCAAAAGATTTCCTTCGAAGAATGTTTTTGCCCTATTTAAAAATGAAAAAAAAAAACTTGGAATAATACTAATCTAGATTCTAGATTAATCTTTTCATTTCACAGGTTCAAATCCATAGGTAAATAGTGGGAGAGCCAATTATCTCAGCAGCCTCAATTCGTTTTTCTTTCATTCCAGTTTCTTTCCACTCATATAACTGTGATCACTCCCCTGACTGCTGCAGTTTCTTTATTCTCAAAGATTCACACTTACAGAGTGCATGGTACCATACCTAGACCTCTAACAAGCAGGATCATAGCTGCTTTCAAAGAACTTCTAAACTCACAGGGAGAGAGTTATCAACTAATAATTATTACCTCATGGGAGCGGCGCAATATTAGGGATATGCATAATGTGTGCCTAATTTCTAATTCTGGTTTATTGCTGATTATTTTCTTGTGTGTTGATTACATTGATCAAACCGTAAATTCTTTGCATGCAAAGTGCATCTTTGTTTTTTTGTGTGTCTTTCATCATTTCTGCTTAATGTCTAGGATCGGGTCTGCCTCCTACCAGGACCTTAATAAAACTTACTGATAGAATGGCACTAATTCACTGCTTTCTAGTTCCCGTAAAGCAATGAATGTTTGGCCATACCAAGCAAGGAATGTAAAGAAATTTCTGAATCAGATTGCCTCTAATCCTATTAAAAATGATAAAAATTATATTGAAGAATGTCCAACTTAAAAGAGATAGTGATATAATACTAATAATTTCTAACACTGAGCCATGTGCTCCCCAAAGTACTTTATTTATACTACTTAATTTAATGGTCACAATGAACCAATTCTGTCATTATTCTTATTATCACTACCATTTTACAAATGAAGATACTAAAGCACAGAGACTTTGAAGAACCTTTTAAAATCACATGGCCAAAAAATTATGGAGCTGGGATTTTAACCCAGGCAATCTGACTTACATGCACATATTTGATAAAGTTACTGATCTCCTTCAGGTTCCGGTTAGCAGACCAGAACTTCTTTTCAGGCCCTGTTTTTTCAAAAACTTACTTTGTCTTAGGCAGGAGGATTATATCTGGTGTATATATATAATAGTATATTATACATACTACAGTCATGTCTGATTAGAGACATTTCCTTATATTCTGAGCAGCACTCACAGTTTTACCACTGTTGGTATTAAAATGATTACAATGCATGTGATCATTTACATTTTCTGAAGCTGATAATGAAATTAGAAAATTTGAAAATCAGACTTTTTTTCCTGGGAGAACTGAAAAGAATAATTGAATCGGAACAATTGAAAACCTGATTAATCTGCATAAAATGCAATTGAGTATTTTCCCCAAATAAAACTATTACAAATTTAAAATGCTTTCTGCATCATGAGGTCAGTCTGTTATGCAGTGATTAATAAATAAGGCAATTTGTTTTCCATCACGCAGAAGCTAATATTAGATAACCTGTACTCATAAGCAGACAGGCTACTTTAAGCTTTCCTTTCAGAACTGGGCCAACTCTCCAGAGAACCCAGACTCCCTTATTTGGAGGTAGATCTATAAATTGACTGATACTCACACATACCAAAAAGGCTCTTGGGAAGGCCTTTGAGAAGGTCAACCCCCCACAGGCTACTCACTAAAAGATAAATGAAGGAAAACAGCTTTTATTAGACATTTACTTTTTTGGATGAAGGTAGAAGTTCATGCTCACATATAGGATCTTCTTATAGCATACTATAGTCACACCTAGAATCCTGCTCTACTTACAGTATACTATCCTATATTCATGAATTTAGGCTTAGGATTCATGGTTCTGCTGTTAGGATAGCCCTATGCTACATATTTTCCTGAAATATTTAAGGTGTCTTAGAGGTGTTTCAGATGTTTTAAACAGCTACCCTGGCCTTTCAGTCAGCTAAAGGGCAAATGGAAAGCACTATTGCCACTGATAAAGAAAAAAGACCTAGAATATAAAGATGATAAAGATTTTTAAAGAACAAATGGCAACTTAACAAGACAAGCAGTGGTCAAATGTGCAAGAAAATCAGTAAAAAGCTATTGCTTTTTGAAACATCAGAGAAGTTCCTGCTTTAAAGTCTTAATCTTGTTAAGATAAGAATTTGTCAATCAGCTCAGTGGGAAAATTGGATTATACTTTGACCCATGGTTGGATGAGTTGCAGATTATCTTTCAGGACAAGAAATTAAATAAAACTAAATTCAATAAATTCAATTCTTCCTTGATGTAGGACATAAATATTCTCTAGCCACCATCTTTTTTTTCTTTTCTTTTCTTTTTTTTTTTTTAACCAAAAAAGATAAAATGCTGCTTATACAAAGACTTTCTCCAGGGAATGAGCAAAGTCACTCTCCAGGAAAACTAGATAAATAAATAAAATAAATTCCTCTACCCAGTTGTCTGAGGCATTCAAACCAGAGTGACTCCATTTTGAATGAGGGCTAGGAAAATTAGGTTGAGACCTGCTGGGCTGCATTCCCAGAAAGTTAGGCATTCCTAGCCTCTAGATGTTTATGGTTAAGGGAACAAATTAATAATGCTTACTAAACAGACCCAGACTTGGGAGTGTCCAGATATCCCCATATCTGAAGAAAAAAGGCATTCCTAATTTTGCTTTAAAGATAATAATATCGATTCTTGCAAAATATAGTGGTTAAGAAAATTAATCCTTTATCACAAACCCTTGTAACAGAGCACATCTCCCCATATAAACAAGCATTGTACCCATGGTGAACATGTTCCTCCTCTTACTTTCGGGAACATCCTACTCTGTCTGTGGAGTAGCTGTTCTTTCAATACTTTACTCTCTTAATAAACTTGCTTTTACTTTGCTCTGCAGACTCGCCCTGGATTCTTTCTTCCTCAAGATCCAAGAACCCTCTCTTGGGGTCTGGATTGGGACCCCTTTCCTGTAACACAATTATTGCTTAAAATCTTTCCACTATTGATGTTTTCTTCCCTCAGTTATAGTCCCTTGCATTTACATAGTCTTTTTTATTTTTCAGTCACTCTTATAGACATTGGTGATTGTCTGCTTAAAGGCTATTTCCCTCTTCTTCTTACTAATGAAACTCTTCTGTTTTTAGGTGTTAGTATTCCTTTCCCTGAAGGTATGCTTCAAGGAAGGCTGGCCTTTGCCACAGGACAGAAATCTTGATAACCCAATTATGCTTTTTTAGATAATTATGGCTTGACTAAGCCAATGTCGGTAATTCCATTGCCTACTGACCAGAATGGGTTAAGAAGTACCATGTGACCTAATTCAGGCCACTGGAGACCTAATTCTCCAATGAAACATAAGGAGATGGCTAAGGATTCAGAAAAAGATTTTTTAGATCTTAAATGATACACAAGGATTTGTTTTATTTTCCCTCTTTTTTTCACCTCTGGACATTGCTGTTTATGCATGTACTGCTATACCCATTTTGAGCCCCGTGATAAGAGCTGGCTGACAAAATGAGAATAGCAGAATGGAAAATAAATCTTTGAGTACTGATTTATTTTTTCTTTTTTCTTTTTTTTTTTTTTGAGACGGAGTCTCGCTCTGTCGCCCAGGTCGGACTGCGGACTGCAGTGGCGCAATCTCGGCTCACTGCAAGCTCCGCTTCCCGGGTTCACGCCATTCTCCTGCCTCAGCCTCCCCAGTAGCTGGGACTACAGGCGCCCGCCACCGTGCCCGGCTAATTTTTTGTATTTTTAGTAGAGACGGGGTTTCACCTTGTTAGCCAGGATGGTCTCGATCTCCTGACCTCATGATCCACCCGCCTCGGCCTCCCAAAGTGCTGGGATTACAGGCGTGAGCCACCGCACCCGGCCTGATTTATTTTTTCAAAAGAAATCAAATTTCATCAAAACAATTTGAAATGACAGGATGAAGAAATAAAATCAATGTTTATTGATAGACATAAAAAAGAATTTTTCAAGTGGTTTTCAGGGTTAAAAGAGAAACTACACAATGTCAGAACAAGCCTAGGAAACACATTTCTTCATCCTTTCTGGCACACAGTAGGTCCTGTTGGGGCTCAGAACTGTATTCCCCAAAGACTGGCAGTTGGATGTGATGAAAGGCATTGGAAGCTGCCACAGAATCAAGGTCCTTCTAACCTCGTCTCATCTCTTCCCTTCTCTCCAAGCACAAGGAAGGACTTTCTGGAATCTACTTATCTGACCAAGAAAGCTTCTTTCCAAAAGAAATGCAATTGTCTTGAGACTTCTTCCCTAGGGATCTGATCAACTAACCAGAAAAGAGCAACCACCAGAGAAGAGACTGTGAGTTAAAACCCCACCCCAGAGACTTTTTATCTATTCTTCTGAGGGCAGCTCCAAGAGTTTACCTGGGGAACTCTATCTGCATAATAAGGGTACCTTTGCTCCTATGCAGCACTGTCCCTCACCTTTCCATAAGGTTTGTCTCCCACTTCCCAGGTTTATACATCTCTCTTCTATGAAGAGAATATTTAAGCCCAATCACCTGGCTCCTCTTCAAGTTCATATTTTGTCTGGCTCCCATGAACACTTGTGCATGTAATAGTAATGAATTTGTTCTCCTTTTCCCTTGTTAGCCTGTTTTATATTATAGGGATGTTTGCTATAACCTTTTACAATGGGGAGAAAAAAGATCATCCCATGTCTGCCCCTATAATTTTAAATATATCAACAATTAGATTCTTGTTTATCCTTTTTGTTTTGGTATTTTGTTGTATCTGGGTGCCCTGTAAATGTTTGATACTCTTGCTTTCCACATAGAAGAGTCTTCTGAGTTAGGTCAGTGCTGTTGGATTGTAGTCAGTGGAGAATGTGTCAGTCAGGAATGTGCATAAAAGCACCTTCCTACCTCTCCCTCTTCATCTTCTATGATTCCTCATACCCATTTGAATCTTTAGCTAAACACCACCAGTATATTTCTTTGACACTGATATCCTCTCTTCTGCTTCAGTGCCATTGTCTATTGTACGTGACTTAACCCTAAGCTACCTCTGCTGCTACTATCAGTGGATGTAGCCTTCAAGTGTTATTCATGGGATTTGTGGAGCTACTGAACAATAGAAAAATCTGTTGTCAACTCTGATTACAAGAATGTAATGATTCTTCCTAAAATAAAAGGAGAAATCTTTCTCTTTAGCAACATGGGAGAAGATGAAAACAAAAATACAGCTACTGTTCTGAACAAAGAGAAGAAAAGCCATTTCAAGGGTTAACAAGTAAAGTTTTTATTCAGCAAGCAATTTCAGAGCAGATGGGTTGGGAGAGGATAAAGGAAGAAAGCAAAGTCTTTGTAGAAACCATTTGGTTAAGACTTAGTTCTTGAAACAAACTGAACAATAGCAGGGACTCAACAGTAAGTCTTCTAACAGGATGAAATGAGGCTCCATCACAGACAGCATACGTTTGTATACTGGAGTGCACCAGGAGAAGCAGAACTTGGAAGATATGGTTTCTCACAGCTTCCTTAACTCAGAGGGTGATTTCAATAATTCTCAAAAAGTTCTTGCTGGCTGGGTGCAGTGGCTCACACCTGTAATCCCAGCACTTTGGGAGGCCATGGCCGGCCTCCCAAATGTCAGGAGTTCAAGTCCATCCTGGCCAACATGGTGAAACCCTGTCCCTACTAAAAATACAAAAAGTAGCTGGGCATGGTGGTGGGCACCTGTGATCCCAGCTACTTGGGAGGCTGAGCCAGGAGAATTGCTTAACCGGGACCCCGGAGGCGGAGGTTGCAGTGAGCCGAGATCACACCACTGCACTCCAGCCTGGGCTATAGAGCAAGACTCCATCTCAACAACAACAAAAAAAAGTTCTTGCCGTGTTCACAAATTCATCCAGGTATTTTGAAGCATAAGTACTTTTACTGGGTACTTACTCCTACTGATTTTAATAGGTGCTATAAATTAGCAAAATAAAACCATCAGAACTCTGATAGGTCAGGGTCCCATTAGGAAACAAAAAGCTATCAAAATAGGGTTTATTTGAGGAGCGGTTAATGAAGGGGACATTTATAAAAGTATCAGCAAGAGAAATCACAAGAGAGTGCTTGGGACCTTTCTAAACTCCCCCTATTATTATTTTGTCTTTTTACTGGGCTATTCATTTGTATCCTCTAAGATATCTTTTGTAATAAGCTAGTAATCTTATAAGTAAACTGTTTTCCTGAATTGTGAGCTGCTTTAGCAAATAATGGAAAGTGAGGAGGGGGTCATGGGAACCTTCAGTTTGTAGCCAAGTTGAACAAAATATTGGGCAACCTGGTGATCTACCACTTGAAGTTGGCATCTGAAGGCAGGGAGGGGTGGGCAGCCATGTGGGTGTGAATCCTTAACCTATGGGATCTGTGCTAACTACAGGCTGTTAATGCCAGAATTACTTTGTATGGGAAACCCACATATCTTTTGTCAAAAGTGTTCCATGTTGAATGTGAGTATCAAGAAAAAAATAGTTTTTTTTTTTTATACAGTTAGTAACAGCAGGATGCTACTGCCACTCCTAGTTCTAAAGGGACAAAGGGACAGAGAAGTCACTGGAACCCAGAGAGAAGGTCACCTGTCAGGAGCCATGGCCATTGGTAGAGGGATTCTCATAGGGTTAACAAGAATTGCCATAGTCTTTAGGCAGAATTATAGTTAGAAACTGACCAGGGTGCGCTTTGACCCTGAAGCTGCCGAGTAACTGAGAGTCATGTAGCTTGCTGACCACCTAATCCCTCATTGTTCCTATAGATAGAATCTCTGACACTGGACCTTTTTACGTAAGAATTGCTTAAAGTATTTTTCAGATCCTGAATTCGCAGAATGGCTGACATCAGCCTGTCTGAAGACCCCCACCAAAGACCTGACTCAGCACAGGAATGCAGTTTCGTCTTCCTGTCCCATAATTTCACCCCTCACTTCTCAACCAATCAGTGATCCCCGCAATACCCATCACCTGGCCAGGCCCTTTAAAATCCCTAACCACAAACCCCTCAGGGAGGCAGATTTGAGGTTTCCTCCGGTCTCTTCAATTGACTGCATGATGATTGATTATTAAACTCTTTCTCTGCTGCAACCCCCAGTGTCTCCATATATTGACTCACTGCATCGGGCAAAGGACTCGTTATGGTTATAGTATGCAGCCAGTCCTGACTGGCTCTTCAGGGAAGAAGCTGAGGGAATACTTTTCCTAAACCTCCCTCTGTTTCTTCACTCTGATATTCTGCTGGTCCTTCCTATTGACTGAACCCAGCCAGAATGTCAAGAGGCAAAGGAGCTTGTTGATCCAGTTCATGGAGGTCAGCCTGCTGCAAGATAGGGATAAGGGGAAACTAGAGATCACTAACGTGATTCATATTAGGATACCTCCTTCATAAGCTTTAATGGTTTAAATCTGAGTGTACTTGTAGTACATCTGAACATAGTATTTATTCTACCCAAAATGCCTCTTAATTCTCCAGTCTTCTAAGTCACAGCAACCTCCCCTCTGCTAACCCAAGCTCCATCTGGCTAAAGGTCTAGTTCAAGACTTAAATCAAGTGTTCCCTCCCTGAGAAGGTAGGGTCTGTTTGTGTCTATTCCTGATGACTAGCTAAACCAGTTAGAATTAAGATCGGCTGCATAAAGAAAAACACCTAAAAGGAGAATGGCTTAAATGTGATAGAAGTTTATTCCTTACTTATGTAAATTTGATCTACTTAGAAAAACCTACAAATCTCAAATATTTGTCCTGTAGAAAATGAATGAACTCACCCCATGTACTAGGATCCCAGGTTGAAGCAGAGTTGGTCTACGAAGCTCATAGTCAGCTCACAACTTGAAGATGGAGAAAAAAAACTAGTTTCTACAGGCTTGTAATAATGTCCAAAGAATAATATAAATTAAAAAATGTAATAAGAATAATGGTGGGAGAAAAGGACTTGAGAAACATTGCAAACACATTTTTTTAATAGTATACAAGAAATGTAGAGAAAAGGGGATCTAGTCATGCCAACTCTTTGAAAGCAGCTCTCCAAATGATTTCTTCTCCAATAAGGGTAACCATTGCCCAATTATATGGTTCTCCAGTTACAAGTACATTAGAGGAACTGGCACAGGAGGATAGGAAGATTTCTGCTAATGATGGTCAGTGTTTTCAAACTACATAAAACCTTGAGTAATAGTTGAATGGAGACCCATTTACCAGTTAACTTGGCTAATTGTACTAACTGCCAAGTAAATGGGGATACTGTAGCCCTGCAACCAGACATCACAAACAGCAGAATCATCTATTCTTTGGTCAAGTAATATTGGACTTTATTTGAAAAAGAGGTAACACTCAGAGAGATATCTTGCTATCTGCTGTTACTGCCCTGGATTTTATCCAATTATGTTGGCTACTTCATTTCAGTACTAATTTCAAGAATGTGCTATTCAAAGGACTGAGAGGAGAGAGAAAGAGCTGTGTCACAGCTTAATTCTCAAAAAGATAACTTCAGAGCAAGTTAAATTCCATTTAAAAATGAATATTACAGACAATCATTTTGGAGGAACTAATTTTGCTCATTAGTATTTTTTCAGTGACTCTTACAATGATGGGGGCACTTTGTATGAATACTGTGATTATACTCTGGAATGTGGTTGGGATTTTGTCAGTGGGCTAAACACTTCTGCTGTGGCTTTCGTGATGGCTCTTGCTCCTGCTATTGCTCTCTCCATTCCTTCCCACCCCAATTCCCCAAAATTCTGCTTATACCTCATATTGAGTAATATACAGAGTTTTAAAAATTATTTTTTTTGTGGAGAAGTAATCTAAATATAGCTTCTGGAAGAAAATAATTTGAACTCTCAGGAGAGAGAAAGGAGGTTGAATATTTAGATAGGTTCATACTCGAACACCAACTTTATTAGCTTATGAGAATCCAAGAAAGAAAGGAAAGAAAAGAAAGGAAGAAAGGGAGAGAGGAAGGAAGGAAGGACAAGAGTAAGGATGAGTGGGATGGAGAGAGAGAAGAAAGAAAAATATCCTTCAAATCACAGGAATGTTTGTGAACAACTAACTCAGTGAACTGATCCTGACCAGTACTATGGCATTTGAGATTCGAGATAGCAATCATATCATAACTTTTGAAAGATATTTTACAAATCAATAAAGCAAAACTTTCAAAGAGAAATGTAACATTGCTCCATAACATTTAGACATTTATTTGGTAGAATTCTGAAGAATTTAATTCAATTGGCAGAGACTTAACACAGTATACCTATCCATTAAATCTGAAGAGAAGAGATGAGAATAAAATTCTAACTAGATTTTTTACTGCTTTTGTTGCCATAAAAGGAAAATATATCTCTCTACTGATTCAACACTGTTGTATGGCTTGTTTTATAGAAGGGAATTTAAATTAGTCTTGACTATGCAGGAGTTTTCTACAGGTGTTCCGGAAAAGAAGTATGAATTCTGGTTTAAATGTTAGTTCCCAAATAAAAAAGCACCAGGTTTGCTTTCATATGTCTTGGTGGAAATTAGCTAGAAACAGTTTATCTGTCCTTGAAAAAACATTTTTAAATTGGCTGTAAAGTTTCATCTTCCAGATGGGCAGCCTTAAGCGGGCCCTGCTGAGATGGCACATTAAAGGCCTAAATATGCCATCCGTCTACACATGAATTCCCCAGGTTGTAAATATTTAAAGAGTTGCTGGTGTGTCACGAAAACAGAACTCCACCTTGTGTCTTTGTAGGATGGTTTATAAATAAATCTGTTTTCCACTTTTTCTTGTCTAATCATTTTTATTTAAAGGAGCTGAGCCAGCTGCATTTTAAGGGCTCACCAGTACCTTGAGCCACATAGCTGAATTACATCACCATTAGAAGCTACAAATAGCTGCCATTGTGTTCTGTGGATGCTACCAATACTCATTCATGTTTCCAGTAGAAAACACTGCTCTCTCTTATGGACATAAAATGATACCACTTGCTCAGCAGTGAGACTATAGTTATATTCACTCATTCACGTGCAAACACTGTTCTAGGCTCTGTTAAGTACTGAGTCTACAAAAACAATACTAGCAATCATGATAATGATAATATTTATATCAACAGCTAAGCAACCACTGTCACCATTGAGTAACCACTGTGTGGTAGGCATAGCCTTTTACTTAGTGCTTATGTAGGATTTTATTTAATCCTGTCCAAAAGTCTTTGAGATGGATATAACCTCAGATTTATAGATATGAATTCTTCAGCTCAAAGGCAATAATGTTATTATTGCCATACAATGGTCAACCATAGAACTAAGATATGTTCTTCTAACTGGAAACTTACTGTATTTTTCTATTCATTTTAAACAAGTCAGTTACATTGATTATAAGGAAGGCACTTCCATCTGAGACAGATTGACCCACATTGAATTATGACAGACGGATCCCAAAGGCTATAGCTATATAGGGGAAGGATGACTGCTAGGTGCAAAAAAATAGGAGAAGGCAGATGAGAGAAAGCAAAGTGTATTGATTCAATGAGGAATGCTATGCATAATGAAAGATACAGAGTGATACCAATCTAAGTCTTCATCCGGATTTCTTCAAAGTTTTAGACTCCAGAATTACCAAAGACTTCCTTTTAATTCTGGACAACAACAGAAAGACTTGCTGCTGCTTATTGAGTGCTAACTCTGTATTAGGAACTGTACCAAGCGCTTACATACTCCATTCAATTCAATCCTACCAAATGCAGTTCTGTGAGGTAAGTATATGTGCTCCTATGGTTTACTAAGCCTTGGTAAGATAAAGTGGCTGCTTTAAGTTCATATAGTTTGTAATTGCAGACCCAGGATTTGAATCCAGTCAATGCTCTTCACCACTACACCTACTGCTTCCTATGTAACTATATAACTAAGACAGGAGAAGAGTTATTTGACACAGAATTATATTCTACCCTTGACTTAATCTCTATCATCCTGAGACATTTCAGATAGGAATCCAACATAGAAAAAATTGTGTTCACTCAATGAATGTATTGTGAGATGACTTTTTTTTTTTTTTTACTAGCAGTCTAAATTTCAATGTTCAAAACTCCATGTTTTGTGTATGGGAGGTGACAGCAAATTTTAATATAGGGTGTATTTAGTGCATCTTGAGTTTAACTCCCATTTTTAAAGGCAATAATCTATTGTATGGTATTTTTTAATGTAAGAAGCAAATTTCTATACTTGCTGAACAGACAACTGCATATCCAAAGACAATATTTTGCCAGCAATTAAGCTAATTATAATAACAATTAATGTTTATTGAGGACTTACTACATGATAAGCCTTCAGGTATTTTATTTAATCTTGACAAAATGATTATCAAGAACATCTGAAAGCTGCTATAAAACAAATATTTTTGAGAACCTACTCTGTGTTCGTGAAACTCATATTCTAGAAGATGTTAAAGTAGTTAACTAAATATCTCAAGGTGAAGAATTGAGTAATTTAGGAAAGAAATCAGAAAAAGAAGTCATTTTTTTGTGCCTTACTATCTTGAAGTCCTCTCTCTGAAATAATTCACTTTAGAATAACTTTGGGGCCAGTGATAAGACCAAACTTCACATTGAAGGATACACATAATTCACACACATAATAATGCAATAACGATTTTGCTGTTTCAAAAGGTAGAACAACCTACAGTTGCTTTGAATATGTTTTGTTAAAAAGAATTGAATGTGTTCCAATGTTCAAAGCTGATGATTATAAAATTATTTATGTAATTGAAATATTCTTATTTTAAATAAAATATTAAAATATCCTTTTCAATAATACAAAATATTTCAGCAAGTAGGTGAGAAGCAGAGAAAATTTGAAGATGATGCCACAACAAAACTTCTTTCTAAAATTCCACTCCTAAGATATTTTTTCTTTTATTTGTGTCTAAATTAATGCATGTGAAGGTTGTACTTACCTCTCTCTGCTTTTGTTGTCATTTTTACTACCAGTGAAATATCACTAAGTTGTCAAATGTTGATGTTTTGTGGAGTTCAAATGTCCTTTGAGAGAATATTCAAGTGTAAACAGAAGGGAGATGCATAACCAGCCAACTGGATCAACTGTGCAGTCTGAAGGAAAATAGCTTCTGTTGCTTTTTTTGTTTCATTCATATTACATATAATATTCATTGAAGGAAAAGCAAATAATCACCCCCAAATTCTGCTCTGAAATAACTGCAAAAACATTTATGTTTATTATGGCTCTCCATCCTTTTTTAATGCATATAAACACAAAATATGTGCAATATATGTGGTAATAGTAAAATTGATTTTTTATTTAATATTTTATAAAAATTTTTGTCAATATCAATGAATATAAAACTATATCATGAGTTTTTTTCCTATGTGCGTAGCATTCTATTTTGTCATAGGATATTAATCATCTTTAGTTGCATATCTTTGTTTTTTCCCCAAATTTTCAATATTATAGATAATATTACAGCAAAAATATTATACGTAAATGTCATTATATAGAAACATACATTTATATATATAAAACAACATTTTTATATAACTATGTAAGTAGGCATATAAAACAAAATTTACCAGAAGTAAAATTGTTAATTCAAATAATATGCTCACTCAAATGGAGTAATACATACTACCAAAATGTCTACCAGAAAGATGGTACCATTTTAAATCCCTAACAACAGAGTATAAAAGTACCGTACTAATGTTACTACATCTTGCTAAGACCTGGTGTTACCATGCTTTTAAAACTTTCCCATACTGAGAAGTAAAATATAACGTACTTTTCTTTTAAATGTGCATTTATTTAATTTCTAGTGAATTTGAACATACCATATAGTTCATGAATTAGCATTTTATATATGTGCCCATTGTTTTGTCTTTTGTTGAATAAATGAATTATTTGCCATGTGTATTGCAAACATACTTTAGTTTGTCATTTACATTTATTTTTATGGTAGTTTTTATTTCAATAAAAATACTTGAATTTGTTCAATCTAATTTATATTCCTAACCGATAGTTCATTGCAAACTGCTTAAAATTAAATTCATAAATGGGATCATGTGTGATCAAATGTGCTTTGGCACTCGAGTCTGAGACTCCTTGAAAACTTTTCACTATTAGTAGATTTTTCTGCTATCACTAGCTAGAGCATTAAGAGAACTTTGCTATCATTTCCTAATATTTTCCATGCTCAGTCATTAAAAATTCAAAATCAATGGTAGAAAACAAACTGAAACTTCGTGGGTGATGAAATAAAATTGAGCTAGTTATAAATACAACATTTTTTTTTATATTAACTTGGTGCACTTACTTCACTAGAAGTCTGGTTAATCAGCCCAATCCTTTATACTTCCAAATTTTAGATTCCCCCTTTGCTAGTTAAACTCATATTGTTATATAATATTATGACATTTAATTACTTTAGAGATAACTTGTCTCCTCATTTCTCAAATGACATTAACAACTTACATAAGTTGTTAATAACTTGATCAAGATTACTCTGTAGCAAGACTAAAAACTAGGTCTTTTGATTTTTACACTGCATTATACTTCTCTTCCATGGGTCAACATCGGCGATATTTGCTGATTTTAATTTCAACAAATTGTTTGAATTTTGAAAAAAAAAAAAAAAAAACAAAAGTAAAATTATGTGGCGTGATCAACACATTGAGGGATAATCCCAGAAAGAAATATGTTCCTTTGTTGACCAGAGTCCAGAATAAGGCTTCTCAGTTGCTTTATTGCTACTCCCAGCCCAGGAATCCGGGTTTTAATCAACAGTCCTAAGAGAAAGAGGGACCCTACGCGAGAAAGAAATAGAAACTGAATTCACATTTTTTAAGGAAATTCTTCATGAAGGATTGAGATATTATAAAATAAACAAAATTTCGAAAACCCTGTGCAGAGGACTAGAACTCAGTCTTATTGTTCAGGTGATTTGAAATATATCTCCAAAAGGAGCACCAGAATGTAGCTGATGAGGGCAAAAGAAAGTAAGAGTCAGGTGCAAAAGTCGGGATTTGGGGCAGGTCAAATGGATAAAAGTTGGCAACAGAGTCAAAGGTAGACCAGAAAGTAAAACTGGGTAAGACGTTCCATAAGAAAGCATTAGATCAATTGGACTGAGGTTCTGGCTTCAATCATCTCTTTCTTCACATGGTCAAGGGTTGGATGCCATGGGGGAGATTCTTGGTTTCTGGCAGTCCAAGTCTTTCTTTTTTGTTGTTTTTAGAGACAGGGTCTTGCTCCATTGCCTAGGCATCGGAGTGAAATGGCCACCACGCTTGCCTAATTTTTTTTTTAAAGTTTTTGAAGAGATAGGGTCTTGCTGTGTTGCCCAGGCTGGTCACAAACTCCTGGCCTCAAGAGATCCTCCTGCTTTGGCTTCCTAAAACACTAGGATTATAGGCATGAGCCACAACACCAGGTCAGCCCCAGAGCTTTCATTTGAGATGAACATTGTTCTTAGTCCAGCCACTTGGATGCCAATGAGCTAATCCTGCCCTCATTTGGTGTCAGAAAATCTCAGGTTCAAATCTCGGATTCACTGTATTATTAACTATGTGATGTATGGACAATTTGGGTATACTCTTTCAACCTCAGTTTAGATAAAAATAACTACCCCACTGGGCTCACATTAAAAATATTTGTATAATGTAACAAACTATATATATATATATATAAACTATATATTTAAACTATACATATATAAAATATATATATATAGCTAACAAACTATATATATATGGCTTAGCTTCTTAAATGGCACATAGTAAGATCTCAATAAATGAACTGCAGAAGGTTAGGACTCTTTCTGTAATAACTTTAATTTATCAAACTTTTAGATTGTTTTAAAATCTTCTAGTTCACACTCAGTGGTCCAATTAGGTTTCTTTTTATCATACTTTAAAGGTAAGTTTTTAAAAAAGTAACATAAAGGTAATGAAAAGATAAAAGTAATTCTGTTTTGGCTTACGTTTCATGCCCCATGTTTACTTTGGTGCAGGAATGGAAACAAATGGAAACAAATAAGATATTAATTCTAATTATAAAGTGAAGCTAGAATTTGAACAAACACAAAACAACCTCCCAATTTCCTAATAAGTCACAAGTCTCAAGAGAGATGAATAAATGGCATCTTAGTCCTACAGTCATGCACATAATTCTCTTTTAAATTTCTGATTATAATTCTCTAATTTTTACAAATGATGAGCATTTCCCTGGGGCTTGAGTTGTTCAGGACACTAACAGAAGACTTGCATTCTTGTATTTCAAGATAAATTTTCATTGCAAATACAGAAGAGCCACATGTCCCTGGAATTTAGATATTACAATCACAGACACTTAAAAAAAAAAAAAGTAAATTTACTAAAGGCAGACACAGTATAAAACTGAATGTGATGAGAAAATAAATTCACTTATCATACAAACTATTCTATTAGTAATTGATTTGTATAAAATTAATAAGTCTTTCTTGAAATTCAGATATAAAATTTATCAGCCTCATTTTCTAATCTTTTTATTCAGGTGTCATGAAAATTCTTAAATTATTAAAAGGCTTATGTGTCCTTTCAACTTTTGACTACTCAAGTTGTGAATTTTCTTTGAATAGTAAACTAATGTATAGTGAAATGATTAGCATTATTATAATATATTACATGTTTATCCTCTTAATGACCACCAATATATTTTATTAGTGATATATTTAATATGCATATATATCTTCTCCCTCTCTCTCACTGACTCAGACACACAAAATAAATCACTACAATTTCCAAATTTAGGTTTAGAGCTCCAAATTACATTAATATTTTCTTTGGCATAAAGAGATTTTCTCAAGTTTCTAAGATAAATCTATTTTTAGAGTTAACATAATTGTAAAGAGGGAGGTTATTGCTACATGACCGTACATTTTCTTTTCAGTGTAAGAAAGGGAAGAAGGAAAGGAGGAAAGAAGGGAGGAAGGTAGGAAGGGAAAGAGGAAAGGAGGAAGGGAGAGAGGGAGAGAGGGAGGGAAGGAGAGAGGAATGGAAGGAAGGAAGGAGGGAAGGAAGAAAGGAAGGAAGGAAAGAAATTATTGTTAAAGACAGAGCCAATCAGGAGACATGAATTTCAACTTCAAAATTATAATTAAGTCTGGTGAAATGGGTGAAAAAGTAAATACAAAGTAGGACCAACTTTCTCGGGGCACTTTGAAACTCTCCATCAATCTCCTTAAATTTTCATGTATATATATATGTGTATATACACATATTAAAAAAATACATATATACGTATATATATATGTATATATATGTGTGTGTATATATACGTATATATATACATATATATACACACACATATATATACGTATATATACACACATATATACGTATATATACACACATATATACGTATATATACACACATATATACGTATATATACACACATATATACGTATATATACACACATATATACGTATATATACACACATATATACGTATATATACACACATATATACGTATATATACACACATATATACGTATATATACACACATATATACGTATATATATATATACATATATATATATGTATTTTTTTTTTCGAGATGGAGTCTCGCTCTGTCACCCAGGCTGGAGTGCAGTGGCGCGATCTCGGCTCACGCAACCTCCGCCTCCCAGGTTCAAGCAATTCTCCTGCCTCAGCCTCCTGAGTAGCTGGGACTACAGATGTGCACCACCACGCCTGGATAATTTTTTTGTGTATTTTAGTAGAGACGGGGTTTCACCATATTGGTCAGGCTGGTCTTGAACTCCTGATCTCGTGATCTACCCTCCTTGGCCTCCCAAAATGCTGGGATTACAGGCACGAGCCACCGTGCCCGGCCCAATTTTCATATATTTTGTTAAATTAATTCCACTTCTAGAAATGTAGTTAATAGAGAAAGATCAGAGATGTACCAACATATTTATGAAAAGATAGTAAACATACCAATATTTTACTATAACAAATTGAAACATCTAAAATATTTATTAGTATGGAATTAAATAAATTTTTATTAGGTCTGTTTACATAATAATAGGGACAGGAGGCAGGGAAATTTGGGGCAGAAGAGAGCGGGTCCCTGGCAAAAACCCCACCCTCAAGCCGAAAATCCTGATACCATGGCCCAAAGTGAGAACTTACATCCCTATTTTCCTGCTCGAATGTTGCCTTTTCCAAAATCACCCATGGCCTGCCCCACCCCCTATCCTGTGCCAGTGAAAACCCCATCCTCAGCTGGCAGAGATAAGAGAAGCAAATGAACTAAGGCTGGACATCAGAGAGAAGCAGCTTGACTTCAGGGGGACAGCTTGACATTGGTACTTTGGAGAAGAATCTGACCAGAGATGGCCGGATTTCAGGGGAAAATTACCTCCATACCCTGTCCCCTTTTCAGCTCCCCTTCCCGCTGAGAGCCACCTCCACAACAATAAAATCCCCCACATTTACCATTGTCCAATTCATTTTGTAACCTCATTTCTCCTGGTTGCCGGACAAAAGCTTGGGTGCCACGAATGCGGATACAGAAGGCTGTCACACTGACCCTTTGCCCTCGCTGGAGGAAGGCAGCTGCCTCACACAAAAAAGCAGAGGGCCCGCTGAGTTAATACTTAAGCTGTCCGCAGACAGCAGAGCTAAAAGAGTACTGTAACACTTCTGGGCCTCCAGGGGTCGCAGGCATCTCCCTAGAAACTGCTGCGGGGCCGGTGCGGAGTTTGCTCCTGCTGGTGCCCAAAAACGCTCGCCCCAGCTCCTGCACTCATTCTTCTGCTTGCTCCCTCCAGCAAGCAGCGGAATGCAGCAGGTCCGAGTGAATGGAGTTTGCCCCTACCAGCACCGAAGCAGCTGGCTAGTTCTTGCGCTCATGTACTCCAGTTCCTGCCCGCAAAGGGGTCAGGGAAATATCCTGCTTTATCAACACAATACTATAGAGCACGTAACTAATTTTAAGTTAATATCTAGGAACATGGAAATATGCTTATGATAAAAAGTTAATTGAAAAAAGAGAAAGAACATTATAACCTCAATTTTGGAAGAATATCTGCCAAAATGTTAACCCCTATAATTATTAACAGATGATGTGATTAGGAGAAGCTTTTATATTCTATTTATACATTTCATATTTTCTGCAATAAACATGTAATTTATCTAATCATAATAAAATAATGGCATATAAAACTTGTACCTATAGCTACGATCTCTTATGAGCACTGGAACTTAAATTGGCAAATGGCTTCTGATATCACACTACAGATTATTTCTCTGATTAGCTCAAGCTCCACATATCCCCTAAATCTGCTATTTTTCAATAATTTCCTAATTCTGTTGATTTAACTACCATCTGCTTAGTCACCCAAGTTAGACATTTAAATTCCTCTTGATCTGTTTGTCATTCATCGTTCAGAATAATTAGCTCTAAATTCTAGTGCATTATTTCTCCTAAATGGCTAAGTACGTCTTCTCTGTAAATTAACGGCACCTACAGTTCTAAACATGTTACAGAAAATTAACAAATACATATTTGAATTCTATTTTTTAGAGAGTTCAAGCCAGACGTATGCTCCAACCACACCAAATTCATCATTTCCTAAGCAAAAAATACTGTTCTCCTTAAAATTTTTACTCACTATATAAAACAGCAAAAGTGTCCCCTCTCCCGTATTTTCCTCTGGGTAATCTTGGCGTTCAATCCTGGTAAACTGAACCAATTTTATAGCACCCCAAATACTTAAATGCACAACCTACTTTTAAAGAACCCAGCATATTGAATTGCGATTATTTGCTTTCTGTAACTTATCTTCACTAGATTGTGGTCTACTCTATAGAAGGGATCATGCTTTGAACCTCATCTTGAAAGGAGATTCAATCTTTCCTTCTTGCTCCTAATATCAACAGAGGGTGGAATATATGGTAGGCATTCAGTAATTATTTTCTGTATTACATTATTTTGATTGTTACTCTATGTTGTACTCCTAAATTCAAACTGCAAATTTCTATTGATTTCATTGATAAACACATCTATTTCACTATAGTCTCAGTTCATACAACTCTTAGAATTTATATCGATGTCATTTAAAAGTCAGAAAAGTGACTTCTCTTTAAGAAAGATATTATTAAGATAATTATAATAACTTTGGTAAGGAAACCTATGTTTGTTGAAAATTTTCTAAGTACCAGGATTATGCCAGACACTTTAAAAATTTATTTGTTTTCTTAATTCCTACTTACAAATGAGGCAAGTGAGGACCAGGAAGTTAAAAAAACTTTGATAAGGTTCGCAGCCAGTTTAATGTCAGATCTATATAGGACCAAGTCTGTATCATTAGAAAATCAATTTTCTCAAATGAATTGAGTGGAAAGTTTTTGTAATAAATAATACAAATTTGCTTATACGAGTGTTATGTGGGCATATGGGTATTTTCTGAGCTGGATCAGAAAAACTGTTATGGGGCAAGTAATAATAGTACTATACAATTTCAATTATTTTAATATTTGTAGGGAATATTACTCAACTAAATAATAAATGTATGATATGATCCTGAATTCTCTTATTTCCCCTTTGTGTCTGCAATTGACAAGATATTTGACAATGTGTCTCAAGATATCCTTAGGAATAATACAAAGAAATATGGCCTAGATGCTAATGCAATTAAGGTGGAAAGAAAGTGCTTATATTATCATACCGAGAAGCTATTAATATGTTGATTCCAATCTGTTGCCATTTTATTAATGCCTGTAATGAAGAATTAGAGAGTATACTTAATACATTTGCAGATGATAAGGTTCATTGATATGACAAAAATTCACTGGAAAAGCAGAATCAAATGATACATAGAGATTTGATGAATGGGCTAAATCTTCAGAAACTGCATTTGAAAGGAATTACTATGAATTCTTGTCTTTTGTTTCAAAAACCTAAGTAGCATATTAGGAAAAGATAATCACATGCAGAGATGGAGAAATTTGAAAATTAGGAGGGTGTGTTGTTTCCTTTAGTTGTCACCTCAAGGTAAATCAAAAAGGTAATGTTGTTGCCTCAAACAAATAAAACCCATAGGCAAAAGAAAACTAGAATTTCTGTGTAACACAATCTGTGAAGGAATCATTTTCCTTAATAAATATAGAATCATCCAGGCTTTAGAAGCTAGCAGCAAATGAGAATTCTCCAGGTGGGGAAGGGAATCTGATAAAAACAGATTTTATGAGATTGTCAGTACATTTGGCCTTTTCCTTAGAACTCAGCCACTTAGAATACAGCTGCCTTCAGGAGGCTGGATGACAACGTGCATTGTTCCCCTCCAATCCAAGCTAGGACAAAAATATTTATTTTGCATATGCATCTCAAAATTGAGCCTGGTTGGAATTTTCAGAGATTTTTCTGAACACTAAGGGAAAAACAGAAGAGAAATGGCCAGACACCAAGAAATACAGAAGTAGTTTGTCTCGAAGATGCAAGCCCAAGACTCAGACTCTGCCTTAATCTACCATTGTCCCGAAGTAGAGACACCTGCCTACTCTCCCAAAAGTTTCATGGAGCTTAGTAGGTGCAAGGCCAAAGTTTCCTCTTTGAGACACAAAGTTAGCTCTCGCTCTTAGTGAGCCTCCCCTTGAGGAATGCCACTTTTTGATTCATTTTTCGGGAACCAGCTGCCTAAATACCTTGTTTTCCTGCTGCATCCTAATCTTCTGTTCAGTTCAGCATTTAGGTCTGAGGAACATAAATCTTCAACAATAATTAGGCAGATTTACACTGCATGAATAACTTCAATTTCACCTTTCAGGTGATTCTGTATTTCCTATACTTGGAAAGAAACTATACTTTTTCATGCACCAAGAGTAACAATATTCTAATTCAAAATGTGTCCTGCAAGACACTCTATGAAAAGGGTCTTGTGTCAAAAAATTTTGGAAGCACTGCTCTGTGTTTATCCCTCAAGGAGTCTTGGACATGATTATAATAGCATCTTAAGGGTCTAACATGGCCTGCAATTTAAAAATCTCTTAAATTTAAATGTTCTAAATCTCAAGTTAACTGAAAGTTTTCCAAGCTAATTTGACCAGAGAACAGATTATGCACATAAATTGTGTTGTGTGTTAATACAGCACCTATTAACCTCCTATGGAAGGTAGTTTGTACAACACTGCTCTTTACCAAAGAAGTGTACAGTCAGATTTTACACATAACATGCGATAAGCAGATCACTGCCTCTCAGAAGTTAGTTTCTGAGAATCAGATGGGTCCTGCTCTGTATGTTCAAATACATACTATTTCAGTTTTGAGAACCATTTTTCTTAGTAATCTGGACATGTATGTTTTTTTTTCAAATGAGAAGAACCAGATTTTAAAAAATGATTGAAATCATGCCCCATGATATATATTTGGAGTAACAGGGGATGGGATGTCTAGTATGTAGAAGAGAGATGTACAGTGGGGAAAATGTCATTGATTGCCTCAGTATTTGCAATTGACATAAATCTATGTGAAACCGGTTTTGGGGGGCCAGGCGGGGTGTCTCTTGCCTGTAATCCCACCACTTTTGGAGGCTGAGTTGGGCATATCACTTGAGGTCAGGAGTTCGAGACCAACCTGGCCAACGTGGCAAAACCCCATCTCCACTAAACATACAAAAATTAGCAGGGTGTGGTGGTACACACCAGTAGTCCCAGCTACTGGGGAGGCTGAGGCATGAGAATCGCTTGAACCCAGGAGGCAGAGGTTGCAATAAGCCGAGATTGCCCCACTGCACTCCAGCCTGGGCAACAGAACGCAACCCTGTCTCAAAAAAAAAAAAAAAAATCCAAAACCAAACCAAAAACAAATAAACAAACAAAAAAACCCAGAAGCTTTTATGTACTATCTCAAGATAAAGACAAGGGCCATGAAGGGCCACTAATTACAGCCCAGTATAACAATGCTTTGTAACACAGCTATTAGAAATTTAATATGCTGACTCCCAAGTATGTATGGGTCTTATTACTGGGGAAGGTTCTTTGATTCACCTGTATCCCAGGTGCTCATACAACTCCTGAAAATACAAAGGTGATTTCTACATATGCACTCTTAAGCCAGAAGCACACACATCACATACAGGCATAAAAGTATTCTCTATGGCTTTGACAAAGACCTTTTCAAAGCTTTGTAAATATACAGAAGAGGGAGTGGTTAGTTCTAACTAAAGTCCAAACCTGCTTCACAGATGGTGTTTCAGCGCACTTTGAAATATTTCAGCCAAAATATTGCAGAAAAGAATCTAGCTTTAGCTTTATAGTTGGATGATATGATTTTGAGATCTCTTCAATATCTACTTATCATCAAATTCTGTTTATTATTCTAATATTCTTTTTAGTATTTTAAAACTATACCAAGTCTAATACTTTGATTTTTACCATTCATTGGCATTATTATATTCTTTCTTCTCCTATTGAATTTTATCAGATAAGAATGAGCAAACAAAAACTATCTTTCTAATTTGAATGAAATGTAACATTTAAATCCAAAGAAAGTCCACAATTAATTATTTTATTTTCAGGACTTCAGATTTTTCTTAAAAGCATTTTCTTCTACTGTACTTTCCAAATGCAATCTTAATGAATACCATTTTTAAAAATGTCTATGTAAAGGAGAGGATAGATGATGAGAGATTTTTGGAGATGAAAGAATAAAAATATTCTTTTTTTTAAAGTTAAAATATCATTTACTCAGTGATTTCATTGAAATCTTGGGCTGAAAGTCAAATGTGAAATTTTATTTTTTATTTTTATTTATTTTATATATATATTTTTATTATACTTTAAGTTCTAGGGTACATGTGCACAACATGCAGGTTTGTTACATATGTATACATGTGCCATGTTGGTGTGCTGCACCCATTAACTTGTCATTTACATTAGGTATATCTCCTAATGCTATCCCGCCCCCCTCCCCCCACCCCACAACAGGCCCCTGTGTGTGATGTTCCCCTTCCTGTGTCCAAGTGTTCTCATTGTTCAATTCCCACCTATGAGTGAGAACATGCGGTGTTTGGTTTTTTGTCCTTGCGATAGTTTGCTGAGAATGATGGTTTTCAGCTGCATCCATGTCGCTACAAAGGATGTGAACTCATCATTTTTATGGCTGCATAGTATTCCATGGTGTATATGTGCCACATTTTCTTAATCCAGTCTATCATTGATGGACATTTGGGTTGGTTCCAAGTCTTTGCTATTGTGAATAGTGCCACAATATATATACATGTGCATGTGTCTTTATAGCAGCATGATTTATAATCCTTTGGGTATATATCCAGTAATGGGATGGCTGGGTCAAATGATATTTCTAGTTCTAGATCCCTGAGGAATCACCACACTGTCTTCTACAATGGTTGAACTAGTTTACTGTCCCACCAACAGTGTAAAAGTGTTCCTATTTCTCCACATCCTCTCCAGCACCTGTTGTTTCCTGACTTTTTAATGATTGCCATTCTAACTGGTGTGAGATGATATCTCATCATGGTTTTGATTTGCATCTCTCTGATGGCCAGTGATGGTGAGCATTTTTTCATATGTTTTTTGGCTGCATAAATGTCTTCTTTTGAGAAGTGTCTGTTCATATCCTTCACGCAGTTTTTGATGGGTTTTTTTTTTCTTGTAAATTTGTTTGAGTTCTTTGTAGATTCTGGATATTAGCCCTTTGTCAGATGAGTAGATTGCAAAAATTTTCTCCCATTCTGTAGGTTGCCTGTTCACTCTGATGGTAGTTTCTTTTGCTGTGCAGAAGCTCTTTAGTTTAATTAGATCCCATTTGTCAATTTTAGCTTTTGTTGCCATCGCTTTTGGTGTTTTAGACATGAAGTCCTTGCCCATGCCTATGTCCTGAATGGTATTGCCTACTGGATATATAATCAAATGAAGGCAGAAATAAAGATGTTCTTTGAAACCAATGAGAACAAAGACAAAACCTAACAGAATTTCTGAGACACATTTAAAGCAGTGTGTAGAGGGAGATTTATAGCACTAAAGGCCCACAAGAGAAAGCAGGAAAGATCTAGAATTGACACCTAACATCACAATTAAAAGAACTAGAGAAGCAAGAGCAAACACATTCAAAAGCTAGCAGAAGGCAAGAAATAACTAAGATCAGAGCAGAACTGAAGGAGATAGAGACACAAAAAACCCTTCAAAAAATCAATGAATCCAGGAGCTGGTTTTTTGAAAAGATCAACAAAATTCGTAGACCACTAGCAAGGCTAATAAAGAAGAAAAGAGAGAAGAATCAGATAGATGCAATAAAAAATGATAAAGGGGATATCACCCCCAATCCCACAGAAATACAAACTACCATCAGAGAATACTATAAACACCTCTACACAAATGAACTAGAAAATCTAGAAGAAATGGATAAATTCCTCAACACATACAACCTCCCAAGACTAAACCAGGAAGAAGTTGAATCTCTTAATAGACCAATAACAGGCTGTGAAATTGAGGCATTAATTAATAGCTTACCAACCAAAAAAAGTCCAGGAACAGACGGATTGACAGCCAAATTCTACCATAGGTACAAGGAGGAGCTGGTACCATTCCTTCTGAAACGATTCCAATCAGTAGAAAAAGAGAGAATCCTCCCTAACTCATTTTATGAGGCCAGCATCATCCTGATACCAAAGCCTGGCAGAGACGCAACAAAAGAAGAAAATTTTCGACCAATATCCTTGATGAACATCGATGCAAAAATCCTCAATAAAATACTGGCAAACCGAATCCAGCAGCACATCAAAAAGCTTATCCACCATGATCAAGTGGGCTTCATCCCTGGGATGCAAGGCTGGTTCAACATATGCAAATCAATAAATGTAATCCAGCATATAAACAGAACCAATGACAAAAACCACATTATTATCTCAATAGATGCAGAAGAGGCCTTCAACAAAATTCAACAGCCCTTCATGCTAAAAACTCTCAATAAATTAGGTATTGATGGGACGTATCTAAAAATAATAAGAGCTATTTATGACAAACCCACAGCCAATATCATACTGAATGGGCAAAAACTGGAAACATTCCCTTTGAAAACTGGCACAAGACAGGGATGCCCTCTCTCACCACTCCTATTCAACATAGTGTTGGAAGTTCTGGCCAGGTCAATCAGGCTTGAGAAAGAAATGAAGGGTATTCAATTAGGAAAAGAGGAAGTCAAATTGTCCCTGTTTGCAGATTACAAGATTTGTATATCTGGAAAACCCCATCATCTCAGCCCCAAATCTCCTTAAGCTGATAAGCAACTTCAGCAAAGTCTCAGGATACAAAATCAAC
This sequence comes from Homo sapiens, assembly GCF_000001405.40. Taxonomy (NCBI): domain Eukaryota; kingdom Metazoa; phylum Chordata; class Mammalia; order Primates; family Hominidae; genus Homo; species Homo sapiens. Next base: position 89,648,902 of record NC_000004.12, read on the forward strand.
GTGCAAAAATCACAAGCATTCTTATACACCAATAACAGACAAACAGAGAGCCAAATCATGAGTGAACTCCCATTCACAATTGCTTCAAAGAGAATAAAATACCTAGGAATCCAACTTATAAGGGATGTGAAGGACCTTTTCAAGGAAAACTACAAACCTCTGCTCAACGAAATAAAAGAGGACACAAACAAATGGAAGAACATTCCATGCTCATGGATAGGAAGAATCAATATCATGAAAATGGCCACACTGCCCAAGGTAATTTATAGATTCAATGCCATCCCTATCAAGTTACCAATGACTTTTTTCACAGAAAAAACTACTTTAAAGTTCATATGGAACCAAAAAAGAGCCTGAATTGCCAAGTCAATCCTAAGCCAAAAGAACAAAGCTGGAGGCATCACACTACCTGACTTCAAACTATACTACAAGGCTACAGTAACCAAAACAGCATGGTACTGGTACCAAAACAGAGATATAGACCAATGGAACAGAACAGAGCCCTCAGAAATAATACCACATATCTACAACTATCTGATCTTTGACAAACCTGACAAAAACAAGAAATGGGGAAAGGATTCTCTATTTAACAAATGTTGCTGGGACACCTGGCTAGCCATATGTAGAAAGCTGAAACTGGATCCCTTCCTTACACCTTATACAAAAATTAATTCAAGATGGATTAAAGACTTAAATGTTAGACCTAAAACCATAAAAACTCTAGAAGAAAAATACTCTTTAAAGGATGCGAGAAATAGTTCTGTTGATTAAAATGTTAACTGAAATGAAATATAAATTGATACACAGCTGTAGAAATCTCCATCAGAGCTCTCTGGCCCAAAAGCCTCAAATCCCACAATCACGTAATGAAATACAGAGGAAATGTGAAGTTCAGTTGAAATACAAAGTTCAATGGAAATCAAGAGATCTCAGAACCCATCAATTTTTGGGTGCCTGGAGAAAAATTAAGGGAAATATGTCACCTTAAAAAATCTGCAGAGATACCCCATTCACAATGATACAGTTATATCTGGCCTATGATTGCTAGATACTGAAGCTGAGAATGTAGTTACAACTTGCTAAAAATAGTATAAGCAATGGCAAGGAGAAAATGGGTATAAAATTGCAATATCTGTAATTAGAATAAGCATTACATTTTTTTCTAGGCAGACAAAGCATGATGTATCTCATGTGAATCTTTTACACTGATCTTTATTTTTATGAATGGTCCTTCAAATTCAGAAGGAATAACACTACAACACTATTTGGGAGAAATGACCATGATTCTCTTGTATCAAATAACTAAGGAAAACTATTAATTCATGTTCAATTTTATAGCAGCAAAGTTTGATTCAAGTCCAAATATAAACTAAGCTGTTCCTGTTTATAAATACATGTGTTTATTTACCTATTCAGATATAGTATATTTCATCTTAATTGTAAAGAAGAACAAAAGGAAATACCCACAAGATCAAATATCTGTTTTTTTCAGTCAGTCCGATTAATTTATATAAAATAATTTATAATTGCTTTCACCAACTCTCACATTCAGATACATCTTTTGGCCTACAACAAAAATAATCATGTAAAAATTAGTGAATTACCATGACAATGGGAAATTTTGCATTCTATTCCTTTTTGGGAAAGCAGAGTAAAGAGATACTCTTGTAAAGATGTGCAAGTTTCTCAGACAATTTAGTAAACAGAAGGAGAGATGGATTTTTAAGAATGCAAAAAATTGTTTAAAAAATTAAAAATATTCTATCAAGAGGTATTCATTTAGTGTTCTTAAGTTTTTATCTATAAAATCCAAGGATGGTGAATGTGTTCATGTGTGTGTTTGAGTGTGTATGTGTATTTGTGAATTACACATATGGAGAAAAAGACTAGAATTATATACTGTACTTTTGTAGGGATGCAAAATGTGTTTGTTATATTTTTTAACTTCTTCAGAATTTTCAAGATGTTGTATAATAAGCACATATTTCCATCATGGTTAAAAAGAAATTTTGTGCAACTATGTCTATTCATTTTTCATTTCATATGTATATTAATATATATCTCCCTCAAAAAAAAGTGTGATACATACACATTTCAAAAATGTGCCAAACAACTAAGTGTCAAAAATCAATTAATCGGCCAAGGTAGAATAATAATTTTGACATTTTAGTTTACACATCTATTATTTTAATAATTAGTTGTTTGGTTTCACAGTGCAGGAACAAATAATATCTCTGTACTGGGAAGTGCAAGATTGTCTTCTAGTCACCGGCACTTGACACACTAAATTGATGTGAGTTATCTTTTGGCTCAATCTGCTTAGGCTACTCATCATGATGTTGTTGCTGTCTGTCACGAGTGATGTTAGTACTTGTCTGTTAAATCACCTTTTCTCAGACTTAAAAGCAACCAAATAGAACTTTTTATTCACAGACTTCCAAACAAAATGAGAATTAAGCAATTAAATATTAAATACAGTGGGTTAAATAATTAAATATTAAACACAGTTCTTAGAGGTTATTTTATCTAATGTTTCATATAAATATATACACTAGTCCCCAAATAATTCAATTCTACAAAGATTAGAAATATAATATAACCTAGTCATTATTTTTCTGATATATTCGTGTTGGAATTATTTATAGTAGTTCACTGACTCCAAAAGAATATAATTTTCTTCCTAAAATTATCTATGTAATATATTTTTTCTTAACATTCATAAAGGTCAATTTATTTCTAAAGTAATTTTACTATATAAAAGTTCTCAAAAGGGTTTCCATAAATATAATCAACAACTTTCATAACCATCATGAATTATTGTTCCATTTTACTACTGCAATAATAAATAATACATTTATACTTCAAATTAATAATTATTTTATTAGTAAATATTAGTTATTTTAGTAAATATTAGTACATTATTTTATTAGTAAAAATTAGTAAATTGGTCCAGTGCAGTGGCTCATGCCTGTAATCCGAGCACTTTGGGAGGCTGAGGTGGGTCAATCACCTGAGGTCAAGAGTTTGAGACCAGCCTGACCAACATGGTGAAACCCCGTCTGTATTAAAAATATAAAAATTGGCTGGGCCTGGTGGCAGACGCCTGTAATCCAAGCTACTTGGGAGGCTGAGGCAGGAGAATCGCTTAAACCCAGGAGGCAGAGGTTGCAGTGGGCCAAGATGGTGCCATTGCACTCCAGCCTGGGTGACAGAAGCTCCATCTCAAAAAAAAAAAAATTAGTAAATTTTTATTTTACTAAATAAGATACTTATTAGTATTAGTAAAATAATAACTTTAATTTTACTAATAGGTTTCCACCCCATTACCTATATTTTAAAGTGGGTAATGAGACATTAACAATAAATCTGAAGTGCATATTCTTGCTCCTTTTTTGTATCACTGTTATTTGCTTAGATATGATGACAGTATATGTGATCACATTTATCTGATCACATTCATCACACGCCTGTTGGAGATGACAGAAATATTGCAGCAGGCATTTGGCTATTTGGACTTTCAAAGAATAAAACCAAAGATGAACCCAAATATTAGATTTTGACCAAATGCCAAGGTCTATAACCAAACTTTGAAACATTCTTAAATTAGGTCTATCCTTGGCAATTGTCTCCCAGATCACCATAAGAGTTGGGCAGTACTGCTCCAACACAAAATTAACAAAAAATCACTTGGATAAGTAGCACTCCTTGACTCAATGCTAAGGGCTTGAAAATATGACTTGATTGACTTGAACAATGTGTGCCTATCTATATGTGTTCCCTGAGGCCAATGTATGTTACTTGAATGCTGTATTTATCTTAGTTTGCTTGCTATGTACTGTTTTTCTTTTACAGTCATTTTAATTTTTTTAGGTGTTAAAGTGAACTATAAAGTTGTAGAGTTAGCTTTATTAATGTACCTTCTATAATGAGAAATCGAAGCTTTATTTTTTAACCCAAGCAACAGTAATATATTGTTTATTTTTAATATATTGTTTATATTTCTCTGCTGACAGAAAAAATAATTCTTAATTCTGAAGCACTATTTTTAAAAGCTTTCACTATCAGTTCTCACGGAACCATTACTTGGACAATTTTTGAAATTACTAACAGTTATTTTTTAAACCCAGCTCTAAGTGATTACTCTGTCTCTTGCTTTTTGGCGTATATAGACCAAGGAATATTTTTTCTTTTTTAAAGGCAGCATTCACCCTGATCGTTGACCTGGATTGTTTTAAATGCTAGGTTGGCACGGCTCAGTAAGTATTGTAGTATCTTTGGCAGTCATTAAGCCATAGACCCAACAACCTGTTTTCAGAAGCCTCACTAGAGAGTGAATGGAAAAACCTCATGCTATTGTATGTGGCTTTAGGCACATCCATTTTAAACCCGGCATTTGTGCTCCATATCTTGCCCTTTGACCTATTTGGATTCATGTGGGAATGTGACCTCTGCTTGAATAGGATGATGACATTTTCAAAGAAGCTGTAAGTATCTTTAATGAATATTTAGTCCCAAGATCAAAATAGTTGTAAATATCCTCTAGCCTGAGTTTAAATCTCAGGTTTATGTTTATGTGGTCGAGGCAGGGTATTTGTCTCTAATTGTACATAGAACTTTCAATTTTGATGCATTGCTTAGCTTAGTTGCTGTAATAAATTCCAAGGACTTAGATGTCTTTAATTCACTTGCCAGTAAGAAATGCAATTGCTGTCTTTCAGGTCTTTGCCTACCCTAGCATATTCATAAAGCACATCCATTGAGAAGACACAGAAATAATAAGACAATGGGAAAATTTTCCAGAAGTTAATGAAAAAAGATTACATAAACTGACAACTGGAAGGCAACATTTAACACTGTACTAGAAAAACATTCATTGTCACCAGAATCTGTTCTAGAACTGACTCCCTCATATCCTGCAAAAACAAACAAAAAAAGCTAATATTCTAGGTATTGCTTTTAGCTTTCAGTGTATAATAATTAATTCAATGTCAATATCTAAATGTTTAAGTATTTTACTTAGCTATATTTAGAAAACTCATAAATTTTTTCCCCAACAAAAACCAAACAAACCACATTAGCTAGTTTATTGTATTTTCCCTTTGGCTTATTTTTTCTTTAACTTAATAATTATTTATTTTCTGAGAATTTTTAGAATAGATTGAATAATTTAAATTTTTTGCTTTTTTCCTGGTTCCAATTTATTGATATAAAACCATTTTTTGTTCATAGTATTATTGATTTTTTAAATATCTTTCTGTACTAACAGAATTTTAGAAATATCTACACTTCCATTTTTAGACAAAAAGAATCAATTTGGAGAAATATTGATAACTAAGTAAAACCACAAAGATCCAAAAAACAAATATTATTTTAAAAACCTGTAGTTTTGAAACAAAGTATTGTTGATTATTTTTTAAGAATTATCATTATACATTTAAGAAAACACTTGGTGGACAACTTTTTCCTCAAAAAGCAGTTTTGACACAAGGATACTTATATTTTCAAAAACAAAATGATATACAATTAAGAAATTAAATTTTTTTTAGAAATATATATTTCTGGAACATATTTATATATTTATATTTGCACTTTCAATGTATTTTGTTTAAATAAGTTGATTTCTTTATTTCTCTCTCTTTCTTTCTTTCTTTCTTTTTCTCTTTCTTTCATTTCCACCAGAAATCTTACCAAAAATCAGATTCTGGTACGATTGTGATCAAGTAGTATAATAAAGCTAATCGTGGCTTGCAGAAATCGAAACTCTGCACCTGGACCCATTAGTGCTACCTTCCAACTAAATGAGCCAACACAATCAGCCCAGCTAACATGTAAATTTGGAAATACTGTGGGAAAATTGTGTTCCTGAGGCAAACTGGTGTAGTGCAAAGGCCACAGTCTCTGGGGTCAATTACAAGCATAATTGTGTAGATTTCTGCCTCCCTCAAATTCTAAGTGTTTAACCAGGATAATTTATTCTTATATTTAAAATAGACATTTAAAGTAAACATGACAGGCAGGCCGGGTGGCTCTCACCTATAATGCCAGCACTTTGGAAGGCGAAAGCGGGCAGATTGCTTGAGGTCAGGAGTTTGAGACCAGCCTGGCCAACATGGTGAAACCCCATCTCTACTAAAAATACAAAAATAAAAATAAAAAAATAAGTTGGGCATGGCGGTGCATGCCTGTAGTCCCAGCTACTCAGGGGACTGAAGCATGAGAATTGCTTGAAAGAGGCTGCAGTGAGCTGAGATCACGCCACTGCACTGCAGCCTGGGCAACAGAGTGAGACTCTGTATCAAAAAAAACCAAATTAATTAAAAAAATAAAGATGACAATTCAGAATTTGAAAAAACACATCATATATCAAAAACCTAGAACAAAATAGTATGTAGTAGATTGTTTACAAAAATTAGTTCCCATGCTGTTACATGTCTAAAAACTGGCAAAGGGTGGCTACAGCGTTAATATGAGTCATTAATTAAAGTTTGTAGCACTATATGATACCAATAATGACAACAATAACATTACCTCTACTAGGAAGACACTAAGAGAAGGAGGAAAAAGGGAAAGAAGAAGAAGAAAAAAAAACAAGTAGAAATAGCCGGGTTAACTGTTAGTCACTTTCAAAAAATAATTTTGGATTTTTCTAAATGGTTTTCATCTAATACTTTGCCTTCTGTATTACTGGTACACAATTAGATCAATATGGAATTTTGGGGTTGTATTATTCTTCTCGGGCTGCCATAACAAAATATCATAGATGAGTGGCTTAAATATGACATTAATTTTCTCATAGTTATGAGGACTGGGAGTCCAAGATCAAGGTGCCTGCAGGGATGCTTTCTGGTGAGGATTTTCTCCTTGGCTCATAAGCAGTCACCTTCTCTCTGTGTCTTCACAGGACCTTTCCTTTGTGCACATGAAGAGAGAGAACGCTGGTGTCTCCTCTACTTATAAGGACGTCAGTCCTATTGCATGCCACCCTTATGACCTCATTTAACCTTAATTACCTCCTTCAAGACCATATCTCCAAATGCATTAACATTGGGGGTTATGAATATGAACTTTAGGGGCACACAATTCAGTTTATAACAGGGATAGACAGCAGAAAGGGGGGTCATAGGTGACAATTTAGTTACTGCAAAATTAAGGAAACTAGTTAGACATGAATATAGTTTCTCTAATGCACAATTATTTACCAACCTCCTGTTCTCACAAAGGACTATTATTTAAAGGCTTGTCACATATTGTTTTGTTTCATTGTATCATTTGCAAATAATAGGCCCTTTAAATTTTCATTTTTAATTTAACTTGAGAAAATTAATTAACTTAAGAGAAATTAGAATGTCAGTAAGGAATTTCTCATTGGCTTCCCATAGCTGACACCAACATTTGCAAAATGACCTTTTTCTCCCGCATTTTAAAATGATAATTTCCATTGGTGTTTATTACCTTTATCTCCAAAAGCTGTGGTGCTATTACACACTGCCAGTCAAAAGCTCTCATTGCCGTATGGAAAATGTTTGATTTTAATGAAAAACCTGGATAATCGTTATTGGATGACTTAGCTTGACTAGTGACAGTAGCAGCTTCATATCACTTGAGATAGTGTTTTTCTGGACCAACTTTGATTTTAAGTTGTCTGTGAGGGCTCTTTAACCTGGGTGGCAAATATTGTGCATGAATCATAGGTGTGCAGCTCAGCCCCCATGGACTCCACTGCTATACTCTATGCTGTTGACTGCTAAGTCTCAGTTTCTACTACTTGGGAGATTTTCTTCCTTGGAAGAGAAAATTGAGTCTTGACTGTTCTACACCCATTTTCTATCCCCTCATGCATTTAATAAAATTTGTATCCAGCGTTTGATGAAGATGTAGTTATTATAGTAGTTCAATTATTTCTCCTCCTACATATTAGTGTTTACTGCATATTTTACTCAACTTTAACAGCAAACTGAACTTTATCACCATCTTAATTAGCCCGAAATTATGAAATGATTTTCTTCTTCAAATATTGATTTGTGTCTGTAATGTAGACTGAGTGATCAGAATGATCAATGTTCAACTCAAGCAGCTGATATTTTTAATATTCTGTTTTCCCATAGAATTATTACACACAACCCTGATGATTATGAGCTGAGGGAAAAGGTTTTTAAAATTTTTTTAAATTAATCCATTATTGTGATGCCTTAAATTAAATTATTTTGAAAATAAAATTAAGTTTTGCCTTATTAGAAACTGAGATTTAAAACATTTATGTTAAAAGCAATATTGAGTCTTTGAGATTCTCTAATCTGAAATTTATTTGATTAATTGCTAATCAGTTTTAGATGGATCTAAAACTCTGCAGCTGATTATGTCTGGAGATTGTAATGAGGAATTGTAATATGGTTGCCTAGAAACTGTATTATTGACAAACTGAAATATTAAGGTCTCCATAATTTTAAGATTCAGTGAACAATGAAAGTGCCTGTGGGGGCTGCAGACCCCAGGAAGATAATTATCAGGGGGTTGAATCTGAGACTGTCAGCCAAACTCAGATCCAATTGAGATATAATAAACCTGTCTTGTAAATATTTACTGACATGATTTTTATAGGAAAGTTACCATTATATTCTAAAGCTTTAATACACTAACATATAAATTAAACTTTTATTTGGGATATGCCATTTTCGTCTAACTTAGCTGTTTTCTTTATGTTAGTATTGAAATCAATTCATAGCCTCAGCCATGCAGCCTGATGCTTCCTTCTTGTTACTGAGCCCTATACTGACAAATATACCAAGCAACTAACAGCCCCACCATTCTCCTAGGAGGAACAAGTCATTAATGATGGTGGCAGTAAAGATTCTATGTCCTGCTACCTTATTTTGTTAGAAGCTAAAGTATTTCTTCTTATGTTGCAATAATATAAAAGACTATTTGGTGCCTTTAATTTATTACATTTCAATACAAAATTTTTCTACTAAAAAAAATACTTTAAAAAAAAGTTGGAGAAAGCTAATGAGCTTCAAGTCCTGGAGTTCTCAGTCACTGATAAAGATAATACCATTATTGAATTGAAACAGCTGTGTGATTTAGATCAGGGGTCAGCTTTTAGCTCTTCACTCAGCTCTCATATGAGGGTGAAAAGAAGAGAATGGAATTAGGCGTGATGTGAGTTCCCACCAACACAAATTTTGCTTGATTCTGTCCTTTTAACGACAATTGAACCAGTAGATGGCACTATGTATTTCAGTGAAAACAGTAGACTTTCAGTGCCATAGAAATAAGCAATTAATTGCTGAATGTGAAAATGAGTGAAATGCTTCACATCTGATTGTGAGTTTCCCCCAGTTGATTTGTATTCAAATACCTTAAAGGAACATACAGTCAACACAGATTTCCTTATTTAAGAATGAAGAAGCATACTTGCTTCTGGGACTTTGTGTATGTTTTTAAAATAATGATGTACAGAAAGACAATACATTTAAAAATGTTAATTTGAGTGTTCTGTTCTTAGCATTGCAAATCTAAAGTACATGTATATACATGTATTTGTGTACAATATAGTTTTAAATATAATTAAGTCACTTTTATATAAATAGAAAATTGTTTTCCAAATGCATCAGCCAAGACAACCATTTTTGGAAACAAGACAAAGATCTTTGCAGACCAGAAATGGAACTGAAACAGTGCTAAATGAGACAGAACATTCAGCTTGCCAGGATGTGGGGCCAGAAGTGAGCCTTTGCCACCAAAAAATGTTGATCCTATGGGATGATGGAAACTAAATCCATCTCCGGTGGGATAGGGGACAGAGCCCTCTTCACTGTTTAACACCAAAGTCTTTCATTTAGGGGGAAGAAAACTCTGGAAAGGTCCCTGCTGCACTGGCTGGAGGAGGAGGAAGTAGGCGGAAGCTTCTCAGTTACCACCTGAGTGAAACTGCCTACTAGTTCAATGACTAGTCTGAGATATTGTTAACATCAGTCACTGAGGCACGGGAACTCAAAATCACCAGTTCTGCACTGGTTCCTAGGCAGAAGTAACTGTAAAACTTCTGCTGGAGACTGGAGGGATGAAATTGAAATGGAAACTTCCAGTCAATATTAGCCTGCAAACCAATATTCCTGACCATATGAGGAAAATTTAAGAAAGACAGCTAACACTAAACAATTAATAAAACATTCTATTTTAGCTTTAAAAGAGAGGAACAGAATTCAAAATTTTAATAATTATTTTCCGGATTTGATTAAGTATATAAGTCTTAATTTTGGCAATTCATTTTGAGGGCTAAGAAGGAAAAATAAAAATAAGTCTACCAGACACATCCTACTGAAACTTCAGAATATCAAAAATAAAGAAAAAAAAAAGACACCCTTAAATCTATCAGAGGAGAAAGATTTCCACAAAACAACCGTAATTAAACTAACGGTAGTCTTCTCAGGTATAACCAAGTGTGCCCCCAAACAATGATAATTTACCTTTAAAGTGCTGAGGGATGCCAGTTGTCCACCCAGGATTCTATTACACTGTATAGAGTATGCATAATTATGCTGTAAATAAGTAATTATATTTTAAGCAGGAGGGAAAGGAAAATATATTTTCAGATACACGGAAACTAAAAGAGTTTACTAACCATGCTTTTCCAGAAAGAATGACCAAAAGATGTATTATAGCAAGAAGATGAAACCTAGAGAAAAATAATAGGAAGCATGAAAAAATAGTGAATATAAAAACTGGTAAAATATGTTGGCAAATTTAATTAACTACTGATGACAAAATAAAAGATTTAGAGCTACAAAAGGTGAAACTGAAATACATGTCAATAAAAACAGATTCGTTTGGGCAGAATGGGGATTGGGGTGGTAAAGCCAAGATCCTTGCCTGCTCTGGGAGGAAGATAGGTGTAAGGAATATGTATTACAAAGTATATATCCATTTAAGGAGTGAAGAATAAAGAGGGAAAGTAGAGAAACTTTTGAAATGCATAGGAAGAAAAGTTGAAAAATGAATGGAAAGAACCCACTCAGAACAGTGACTGCCTCTAAGGACGGAGGGAAAATCACAACGCAGGGAGTGAGAGGGAGGCTTCAAGTTATGTCTTTAACTTTTACACATTAAAAGACAAAATGATACAAATTCAATATGCCAGAATGTTAATATTTGTTTGTTGAATGTGGGTAGAAGTTATATAGGCGTTCTTTATCCTATTTGCCATACTTTTCAGGTTGACTGAAGCATTGCGAAATGTAAAATAAATGCCAAGGGGGGAAAAAAAGGAAAAAAATCATCTCAATGTAAATTAATCTATTCTTCCACTTTCTTAGGCCCTGCTGCTGAAGTTTGAGATATAAAATATGTACCTAGAGCTAATATAATGGAGATCCCTGAAAAAGTTTTCCTAAAAAAATAAAAATTAAAAAAAACACACACACAATGAAATAAAAATGAGAGGTAAAATCTGCTCAATTCCTTGTGTATATTGTCAGTTTGTTTTACCTTTGAAATCCTTAGTTCCATGTTCATTTTACACTTGTTTCAACTGATTCCAGCTAATTAAGCAGATTATCTTGGGGACTGTGCTACACACACAAGTTTATCTGCCTGTGTAAGTGCAACTTGAGGACCTTTCTGCAGTGCTAAATTTGCCTTAGGAAAAAATACTGGAAGAATTGTAATTCTGTATTTGTGTGTATGTGTTTCTATAAACCACAAAATCTAATCGGACTATTTGTGGCATTTGCAAAAACACCTACGTCAGCAGTATTACTAGTGAAGACAAGTTAGCCTTCTCTCAAATTTAAGGCTTACATGATACACATGACTAGTTTAGAACATAGCAAATTTAAACCTGGGCACACTAAAAGACATTAGGGGTGACTCTTAGGTAACAGATTTTATCCCAGTACCATACACCCTCTAGTTCCGATATGAATGAGATTTTTAGAATTTCAGCTTGAGTAAAACCAATCAATAATTCTGCCATGGAGGGAAAAACTACCTTGTTTATTTTCAGAGGCAGCCACAAATTATGCTTGGACCCTAGACAAAGTGAAAAAATAACATAAAAGCTTCTAATGCCAATATGGTTTGAAAGGCCTTATGGGAAAAAATTAACTAGGATAAATAAATAAATTTTAAAAAATCAGTGGCCTGACTCAAAATGACAGATTGAGCAATGCACATTCATTCACTTTTCTGCCAGCCAATTCTACTGATGTAACAGAAAGAAAATATAATTATAGGGAATAAACCTGAAAAACAAGGATGTTTTTCAACGCTAGGCTAGAAATTGTGAAAAATTCTAGAAGCTAGAAAGTAGACAGGATCAAATGGTAAAAAAACAAAACAAAACAAAACAAAAAAAACAAGGACAGAGAAAGCTACAGCCAGAATGTACGCAGTGACAAGGTATTGGATGGGAAAGGGCAGCTTATTTCCCAGAGAAATTCCATGTTCAGAATAAACAAAAACATAAAGCAGGAAGGACGTCTAGAACAACAACCAGGATTATTCAGCAAAGGCTGCTATCAACACAGTCCTCCAATTTAAAGGGTTTACATTGTGTTAAATAGGATTTATAAAATAGGAGTTATAATTAGACATGTCCTAGATAACTTTTAGAAACCTAATGTGTTAGTTTCCTAGAACTATCATAACAAATTACCATGAACTGAGCAGCTTGAGATAACAAATTTATTCTCTAACAGTTCAGAAGGAAAGAAGTCTGAAATCAAGGTGCTGATTCACTACTGCTGCTCCCTCGGAAAGCTTTAGGGTAGGATCCTTCTTTGCCCTTTCCTTCTGGTGGTTAACCAGAAATTCTTGGCATTCCTTGACCTGCAGACACATCACTCCAATCTCTGCCTCTGTCATAACATGACATTTTCCCTGTGTGTGCCTATATTCAAAATTCCCTTTTCTTAGGATTCCAGTCATTGGATTAGGTTCTGCCCTAATTCAGTATGACCTTCTCTTAATATGATTATATCTGCAAAAACTTTTTTTTTTTCCACAGAGGGTCACATTTGCAGGTGCTAGAGATTAGGACTTGAGCCTATTTTAGGAGAAAAGTTCAACTCCTAACACCTAAGAATAAAAAAGCTCCAAAATCTTTCAGAATGACCATCACTACCAACAAAAATATAGGTTACCTGTAAAGAAACAAAAATTAAATTTGCAATAGCCTTCTCATCAACAACACAGCATAGGAGAATAAAATGGAGTCAGGTCTTCAAAGTATTGACAAGATATAGCTTTAAGCTAAAATACTATACCAAAAACAAAAACAAAAATTATTACTCAAGTTGAGGACAAAATGCATACTTTTTTTTTTGGTATGTATATCATCTAAAAGTTAGCCCGTTGGACAAATTGCCATTTCTTTGTGGACCCAATCGCCATTTCCCATCTTTTTTCCCCATATTGCCCATGTATAATTCCAGCCAATGATAAGTGGAATTTTGCCATAAGGATTATGGGAAAGTTTCTGATCTACTGATACATATGCTACTCTTCTTTTTCTCATTTTTCCAACTAGAAAGCTTGCCTAAGATCTATAATGGTATCTCTTCTGCAACTATCAGGAGAAGAAAATTGTAGACATAGTGGCCTGATATGTAGCCCTGAACCAAGTATAGCAGCCATCTACATCTAGTCTTCTAGTTACAAGAACCAAATACATTCCTATATCTAATTTACTGCTATAAGGGTATCTTAGTTGTAGGTAAAGATGTCCCTAATTAATACATTACCATTAGATCCTTTTTGAAATTACTATTTTAGAATTTACTCCCCAAAAGGAAAAGAGAATCTAAGAGAAGGATAAAATGGAAGGCAAAAAATAGTGATGAGCAAGAAATCAGTAAATGTATAGTTAACATTATGCAAGTGTTGATTGAATTATGAACAAATTAGTAACAATTTTGAATTCAAATCCAAGACACTTTCAAATATGTGAGGTGGCAATTTGGGAGAGTAGCAAAGTACAAATGGCATAAGGCTTTTGTTGTATTTGGAGGATTAATATTAATTGTTGTTATGTAGAATAAAATACAAGTTTAATTTTTTATTAAAAATTAATATGATCACTAAAAGAATAAGAAATGGATTTAAGTTCTAAAACAATAGAGAGAAAAGCACAATAAGTAAAAAATTATTCCAACGAAGGTAGAAAAAGTAGAACAGGAAAACAAAATCATGCTGAATTAAAAAATATAAAAGTGCAGAAAAAATTTGAAACATTATCACTTCCCATAATAAATGTTTGGCAAGTTACTCAATTTTTTGAAGAAGGGTTAATCACACTTGGTAGTGTATGAAATACACAGCTGCAAGCTATTTGCAGGAGCATAATAATATGACTTTATTACAAATGTAGCATTTTTTGGTGGTTACTTGAGAATATTGTGCTACAGTCCTTGAGTTTTAGAGGAGTGGTCAGGATGAGTCTGAAGGGGGACTTACTGAAGGGCCAAGAATTGGGGGGTCCCTGGAGTGGAGGCAGGGGACAGGATCAAAGGGCTGCCGGGAAATGTTGGTGAGTTTTCATGGTTTCCCTCTCCTTGGTATGTTGGGCAGATCAGATAGACCAAGTCAGCTGGAATCTCATTTAATTTATGTAGAAATCCTACAGGCAAGGGAAAAGATTTCTGCCTTTAGTCATCCTGGGGTCTTCCTTTAATAATGAATTTTCTTGGAGATTAGATTTGAAATATTAATAAGCTCATTCTGCTTGAGGATCTTAAAGAAGCTTTTTAGTTATTCTACCCCCTATTGTATAATGTGATTTTCTTAGCCTTTTTCTACTTTCAGGACAAGAGCCAGACACAATCGTGCGACGGGAAAAGTTTGTTTTTGGGTGTCCTTTCCAAATTCATGTGACTTACTTTCTCACACCTACTCCACCAAATGCCTGGAATATGCATGCTGCCTCAGTCCAATGTACATAGCCTCCTGTCATCATGGTTGTTGTCCCTTGTCCATTCCCTAGCTAATCACTTCAGGGAATAATCTTTGCAGGTGTTGGAGGATGCTAAAAGTCAATGTACCATGCCTAGCAGAGCTGTTACATTTTAGCTAAAGATACCTGAAGACTGAGAAACCTTCTAATGTATAAATGAACCTTTGAAAGTAGAATTTCAGGTACCTGGGCTGGCTATGGCAGAAATTTTTAAGCTTGAAAAAAATTTTGTGTGTGTGATTTTTTTGTTGTTGTTTATTTGTTTAATCTACAGAACAGAGAGAACTGGGCCAGCATTGCTTTACAGGCCATATGGTAACCAATACTATTTTGATCTGCATTACAGAGTTTTGAAAAGATGTATTTCCTCAGGATATTCTCCTAATCCTAGTACAAAACAGTGCTGTAAAGCTGCACACTTCATCTGTGCATAAGGCTTACCCCAGCTACTGGCATCAGATATACAATGCAAACAATGCCAACAAATGGATTTTACCATTCTCTACCTTTAGGTCAAGAGAAGCCATATATTCCTCCATTATAGTTTTCAGGAGAGACACAAGAATACAATTCAACAGACTGTACAGTTTTCCTTCGTTATGTTGGAATAGTTTTCCTTCATTTTGAGAGGAAGTCCAGAAAGGTGATGGCTGTGATAACTCACCTGGTGAATTAAAATAGCCACCTGTTTCAAAAAATAAAAAGCAATCTCAGAGGATCAGAAAGAAATATAACAATTATAGCCAAGATTGATATTTATAGTAATTACATTCTTATTTGAATAATCCCTTTTTGTCATTCTTCAAAGCACAGTACATTCTATTTTTTTCATGACACATTTCTATCCAACTGCCTCCTTTAAACATGCCCAAACTAGCTTCTGATGACTTCACCATTGCTAACAATTTAAAGATAATTCCCTGTTTGACATGATTTTTACCAAAACAGTAATTCCTGAACAATGAATGGTATCTAGTTTAATATCAATCATTAATTGTTGAAAAAATTTCTTCCAACAAAATTTAAGCCAAACCAACTAGTTAGTGATCTTCTATCATGCATTCACATTGGGATAACAAAATATAAAATGAAAGAAACCAGTAGTTCCTGCATGTCTACTATGGTTCTAATATTTAAACATAAACAACCTCACTTGAAGTCAGAGAAGCCAGCTTCCCAAAGTTACATAGATATATAACTTTGAAGTATTAGATTCACGGTTTGACTTCAAATCTGGGCAATTTGAAGACAGAAAAAAAACCAGCAAAGCATGCTGCCTCCAGCTGTAGAAAGATCTGTCAAAGTGTAAAACGCTAGGGGTAAGACTAAAGAGCAAAGAGAATGCCTCAACAATCCAAACTATTTCAGACGATGGACAGAAGAAAGAAAATATTCCAATTGTCAATAATTCTGTGACAGGAACTGTAGTGGATCTTGCCCTTCTGGAAGTGGGGAGCAGAGGCAGGGACTTCCTATGGATCCAGATCCTGAGGGCCCAAAGTATGAAGTCTGTAGCTGGAAGAATAGATTCAGTGTTGGGACAAGAGGTGCTCTTGACATTGAAGATAAGCCAGGAGTGAGAAATACTGTCACCAAGTCTCTGGGATGCCCCTTGCCAGCACTACCCCATGATGGCAATGCCAAACTTAAGATTGTATCTCCTCTCCAGCATCACAAGTAATCAGTAAGATTGGTTCTTTGGACATAGGAAGAGTAGCAACCTCTTGCTGGAGTAGTAGGAGAGGCCTGTGTCTGAGCACAGCATGTGAATGGTATAGATCATCTAGCCATGCCATATGCATGGAGAAAATAGATATCTATGTAGAAGTAAAGAACTAAAAATGCTGTACTTGTGAAATGCCCTAACACAGGAGGCTCAGGCCTTGGGTGGCATGGAGTGACTATAGCTTAACATAACTCTGGGAAAGAAAGGCATCTTCTCCCTTTCCCGAAAGGCTGAGGAGCTACTATTAGACCAGCAGTTCTGGTTTATGATTCAGTCACCTCAGCTGATTGGTCCACCGCCCTTGTCCCACAGCTATACTGCACAGCCTTTAGAATAAAACAGAAACAAGCAAGGGATCTCCCCCCAGGCAAAAGGCTGCTCAGATGATCTGCTTTTCCGTTTCAGGAAAGATACTAATGAGGACAAATACCTTGGATTAAGAAAGTGCTAGAATCCTGTTATTTATCAGGGAATGTGGGCATGTAGAAAAGGTGACTCAGAGCCACTTAGTTTTATATATTAAAAATGACAGTTTGTACCCCAAGCTTGTAAGTGGAACAAATTAGTTATAGTAGGTACCTTCCTTCCTATAGTATCTGTCTCTCCATTTCTTATTCAAATATTATAGGCAAACCAATCTAGAACAGAAGCTTGTGAATATTTCTGACCTTGAACCCCAAATAAGAAATATATCTTAATTGTGAAGCAGAACACACATACGTACGTTTTAAATGGAAACAAGATCTTCTGAAAACAATACTTTCCTTGATCACCTGCAAGGCACTCTGATATTTTCTCTCCTATTTTATTTTCTTTTAAGTATTGGTTAAGTATGTTGCTACCTGCAGTTTGAAAATCACTGGCTTAGATTAGTTCATTAAAAAGAAACTAAAACTATCTGTGTGTGCTTTGAATGGGTTTCATGAAACCATCTTATTTTCAAAGTGCTCATAAGCATCTTTACACTAGATTCTTCTAGAATTTGTTTGGAACAATATTAATTTCACTTGAAATTAATATTTTCCTCCGTTACACATCTAATTTTTAGTCCATCTCTACCTTCCTACATGTTTTATATTCATATACTCAAATTGCACTAACTCTACTTCTATGATAATATCTGTCTTCTTTAATGCCCCACTTTATCAAGGCATTTTATTTGTGCATCTAAACTTCATTTTATCCAAAGAAGTTAATTGTTCAGCTACAATTTTTTAAACGAGATTTTTCTGTTCTTTCTAGCATGAAGTCATTACTGATTTTTTTTCAAAAATAAAATGTGGGGCTGGGCGCAGTGGCTCACGCCTGTAATCCCAGCACTTTGGGAGGCTGAGGCGGGTGGATCATGAGGTCAGGAGATCGAGACCATCCTGGCTAACACGGTGAAATCCTGTCTCTACTAAAAATACTAAAAATTAGCTTGGCGTGGTGGTGGGTGCCTGTAGTCCCAGCTACACGGGAGACTGAGGCAGGAGAATGGTATGAACCTGGGAGGCAGAGCTTGCAGTGAGCTGAGATTGCACCACTGCACTCCAGCCTGGGCAACACAGAGAGACTCCATCTCAAAAAAAAAAAAAAAAAAAAAAAAAAAAAAAATATATATATATATATATATATATATATATATATATGCATGTGTGTGTTTATACATATGTGTGTATATATGTGTTGTATATATATGTGTGTGTATATATATATAATTTCAATTTGTCAATAGTATATTTTGGATATTTTTGCAAGTTACTCTATTTTCTTTTCTACAAAAATCTGTCAACATATTGCTCGGGCTTCTCTCAGTAGCCATTTGAGAATCTTCACTGAAATTTTCCTACTTAAAGTTTTAGATATTTCACAAAACCTAAATAATAAACATTACAGCTTATGAAGATATTGATCATTTAAGCTCTTATATCAGACAAATGTTTTTCTTCCTCTGAATTGTCATTCATATAATTATTTGGTAATTGCTAACTATACGTAAATGTTATTTATTTTTGTCATTTAACATTGTATACACTGATGGTGCTAATTTCCCCCCAAAAAAGTTTTAAATTTCCTGAGAAGAGGAAATAGTATAATACCATTCAGTTCAGGGTGAACTTTTAGGAATTAAAAAAAAAATTGATGTATAATTTACATACAATAAATGCATTTCCTAAGTGTTCTATTTTGACAATTGTGGATACAACCTAAATAAAGAAATAGAACATTTCAATTAAGATGTTTCAATTTCAACCTTGAACCACAGAAAGTTCCTTCCATTGAGCCCCTTTCCAGTTACTCTCCTTTCCAAAGCCACTCACTTTCTGATTTCTGCATTGAGAACTGTGAAGGGTCTGTGATCTCACCCTTCTTGAAAGATAATAAGTTATCCTGCTGCAGTTTAACAGATTCTGGCAGAACACATGAGTTGTGATAATAATGAAACAGCCTTGGATTCTAAGCAAATGAAGCACTAAAAATGATTAGAGCTATTAAAGCCAACCTCATAAGAGGTAGTGAGCAAATAATAGGAGTGTTCAAAGAAACACCATGGATTAGTTTGATGTTTAGCCAAACGACTTCTAAGATTCTAAGTTTCATCATTGGCTTCTAATCTTATTTTGAACTAAATTGATTTAAAAGGCAAGAGTCCAATTTAGCATACAACAAAATTAGAAAGACATATGTGAAATAATATGGTTTTATGAGTAACATTTTCCCAATTTACACATATAATAGCAGTCTAGAAGTGCCTGAGGTTGACAGCACATGATGAGTCCTAACTGAGGTGATTGTCATCTCAAAAGGAGTCGATGGAATTCATGGCTCAGGTAATTCATTTGGGTTAATCTACAACTGTGCTTAGAAGAAAGGCATCTGACAATGTATCACATATATATCAAAACATCACATGATATTTCATAAATATATACAATTATTATTTGTCAATTAAAAATAAATAAGTAAATAGACATCTGTCTCTTTTTTCCTATGAGCTTCCTAATTTCATTTATTTTATTTTTACTGACACATAACAGATGTACATATTGTTGGAGTATGTGTGATAATTGATACATTCATATGATGTGTAACAATCAAGTTAAGGTAATGGGATATCCATCACTTTAAATATTTATCTTTTCTTTCTGCTGGGAACATTCCAGTTATTCTCTTCTAGCTATACTTAAATGTACAATAGATTAATTTATAGTCATCCTACTAATCTATCAAACACTAGGTCTTATTTCTTCTACTTGGAAGTATATTTGTAGGCATTAATCAACCATCCCACCCCCAGTCCCACCTTTCCTGGCCTCTGGTACAGGCCAGAGGCCTCTATTCTTTATCTTTATGAAATCCCCTTTTTTAACTCCTGCATATGAGTGAGAACATGGGATATTTGTCTTTCTGTGCTTGGCTTATTTCACTTAACATAATGACTTTTATCCAATCCATGTTGCTGTAAATTACAGGATTTCATTCTTTTTTCTTTGCTGAATAATATTCCATTGTGTATATATACCACTTTTTAAAATTCATTCATCCTTTGATGGGCACTTTGGTTCAGTCTGTATTTTGACTATTGTGAATAGTACTGAAATAAACATGAAAGTTCAGATATCTCTTCTATATATTGATTTATTTCTTTTGGATATATATCCAGTAGTGAAATTGCTGGATCATATGATAGTTCTAGTGATAGCTTTCTGAGGAATCACCATACTGTTTTCCATAGTGACTGTACTAATTTACATTCCCATCAACAGTGTAGGAGAGTTCCCCTTTCTCCATATCCCCACCAGTATCTGTTATTCCCTGTCTCTGTAATAAATGCCATGTTAATTAGGGTGAGCGAAATCTCATTGTGGCTTTGATTTGCATTTCTTTCATGATTAGTAATGCTGAACATCTTTTCATATACTTGTTGGCCATTCGTATGTCATCTTTTGAGAAATGTCCATTCAGATCTTTTGCCCATTTTTAAATTGTTCTTTTTACTGTTCAGTTGTTTGATCCCCTTATATGTTCTGGTTTTAATCCCTTGTCAGATGGATAGTTTGCAAATATTTTCTCTCATTCTATGGGTTGTTTCTTCACTTTGTTGATTGTTTCCTTTGCTGTACAGAAACTTTTTAGCTTGATACAATCCCATTTGTCTATTTTTGCCTTTGTTGCCTGTGCTTTTGAGGGCTTACACACCAAATTTTTGCCCATATCAATGTCCCTGAGTACTTCCCCAATGTTTTCTTCTAGCAGTGTCATATTATCTCTTACACAGAACTCTTTGATTCATTTTGATTTGATTTTTGTATATGGTGAGAGATAGGGGGTCTAGGTTTTTGTTGTTGTTGTTGTTTTGAGATGGAGTCTTGCTCTGTCACCCAGGCTGGAGTGCAGTGGCATGATCTCGGCTCACTGCAACCTCCACCTCCCAGGTTTAAGCAATTCTTCTTCCTTAGCCTCCTGAGTAGGTGGGACTACAGGTGTGTGCCACCATGCCTGGCTAATTTTTGTATTTTTAGTAGAAATGAGGTTTCACCATATTGGCCAGGCTGGTCTCAAACTCCTGACCTCATGATCCACCCACCTCGGCCTCCCAAAGTGCTAGCATTATAGGCATGAGCCACCATGCCTGGCCAGCAGACTAGTTTTATTCTTTTGCATACTCTTATCCAGTCTCCCTCCCTCTCTCCCTCCTTCTCTCTCTCTCTCTGACTTCTCCTCTCCTCTCCTTTCCTTTCCTTTCTTTCCTTTCCTTCCTTTCCTTCCCTCCTTCTTTTTAGAGTCTTACTCTGTCACCCAGGCTGGAGTACAGTGGCGCAATCTTGGCTCACCGCAACCTCTGCCTCCCAAAAACCAAACGATTTCATGCCTCACTCAGCCTCCTGAGTAGCTGAGGCTACAGGTGTGTGCTACCACACTTGGCTAATTTTTGTACTTTTAGTAGAGACAGAGTTTCATCATGTAAACTCCCAACCTCAGGTGATCCTCCCATCTTGGCCTTCCAAAGTGCTGGGATTACAGGCATGAGCCACTGCACTCAACTGATTATCCAGTTTTTCCAGCACCATTTATAGAAGAGACTATCCTTTCTCCATTGCATATTTTTGACACCTTTGTCAAATATGTTTCTTGTAAATGTTGGATTTGTATCTGGGTTCTTTATTCTGTTCCATTAGCTTTTTCATTTTTTCAAGGTGTCTATTTCTTGACACTTGGCTTTGCAATATTTTTTCTTCAAATTTCAAAGTATTTTGTTTCAAACATGTTTTTTAAATATTAAAGGGGATGTACAGAAGGATAAGTTGCAAAGTCAAGAACAAGTGTGTTCCTGAAAATTTAGCCTGGCTTTGAATTTAAAAAGGGTTTAAAACAAAGTGAATGAACTAGCTTCTGAGTTTATGTTGGTTTATTCAACATTGAACACAATTTTAAAAGTCAAGACAAGTGAAGATCAAGATTCTGTGTTTTCTTGTTAAGCTTAAGGCATTTTGAGAGGGGTGTATGTTGATCAGCATAATTGCTATTAAGAACTGAGAGAACTTATAGAAAACTTATAATGGCCACAGGGAAATTCAAGATGGCCAAATAAGAACAGGAACAGTCTGCAGCTCCCAGCGAGATCGATGCAGAAGGTGGGTGATTTCTGCATTTCCAACTGAGGTACCCAGTTCATCTCATTGGGACTGGTTGGACAGTGGCTGCAGCCCATGGAGGGCAAACCTAAGTAGGGTGGGGCATCACCTCACCTGGGAAGCTCAAGGGGTTAGGGAATTTTGTCCCCAACCCAAGGGAAGCTGTGAGGGTCAGAGCCTGAAGAACTCCAGCACAGATACAGTGCTTGTCCCACAGTTTTCATAACCCACCAACCAGGAGATTCCCTCTGGTGACTACCCCACCAGGGCCCTGGGTTTCAAGCACAAAACTGGGTGGCCAATTGGGCAGACACCGAACTAGAGCTAGGTGCAGGATCTTTTCTTTCCATAACCCAGTGGTGCCTGGAATGCCAGTGAGACAGAACCGTTCACTCCCCTGGAAAGGGGGGCTGAAGCCAGGGAGCCAAGTGGTCTGACTCGGTGGGTCCCACCCCCACAGAGCCCAGGAAACTAAGATCCACTGGCTTGAAATTCTCACTGCCAGCACAGCAGCAATCTGAGATCCACCTGGGACGGTGGAGCTTGGTGTGAGGGAGGGGTGTCTGCCATTGCTGAGGCTTGAGTAGACAGTTTTACAGCAAGGGTAACAAAGCTGCTAGGAAGTTCGAACTGGGTGGAGCCCACTGCAGCTCAGCAAGGCTGCTGTGGCCCAACTGCCAGATTGCTCCCCTCTGGACAAGGCATCTCTGTAAAAAAGGCAGCAGCCCCAGTCAGGGGCTTATAGCAGACTTAAACGTCCCTACCTGATAGCTCTGAAGAGAGCAGCAGACCTCCCAGCACAGTGTTTGGGCTCTGCTAAGGGTCAGTCTGCCTCCTCAAGTGGGTCCCTGATCCCCATGTATACCAATTGGGAGACACCTCCCAGTTGGGGTGACAGTCACCTCATACAAGGAGAGCTCTGGCTGGCATCTGGCAGGTGACTGCTGGGTTGAAGCTTCCAGAGGAAAGAACAGGCAGCAATCTTTGCTGCTCTGCAGCTTCCACTAGTGATACCCAGGCAAACAGGGTAGGGAGTGGACCTCCAGCAAACTCCAGCAGGCTGGCAGAAAAGGGGCCTGACTGTTACAAGGAAAAGAAACAAAAAGAAAGGATTAGCATGTCCACTCAAAGACCCCATCTGAAGGTCACCAACATCAAAGACCAAAGGTAGATTAATCCACAAAGATGGGGAAAAAGCAGCACAAAAAGGCTGAAAATTCCAAAAACCAGAATGCCTCTTCTCCAAAGGATCAAAACTCCTTGCCAGCAAAGGAACAAAACTGGATGGAGAATGAGTTTGACAAATTGACAGAAGTAGGCTTCAGAAGGTGGGTAATAACAAACAACTCCGAGCTAAAGGAGTATGTTCTAACCCAATGCAAGGAAGCTAAGAACCTTGAAAAAAGTTAGTTGAATTGCTAACTAGAATAATCAATGTAGAGAAGAATGTAAATGACCTGATGGAGCTGAAAAACACAGCATGAGAACTTTGTGAAGAATACACAAGTATCAATAGCCGAATCAATCAAGCAGCAGAAAGGATATCAGTGACTGAAGATCAACATAATGAAATAAAGAGAGAAGATAAGATTAGAGAAAAAAGAATAAAAAGGAATAAACAAATCCTCCAAGAAATATGGGACTATGCTTCCAACCAAGTTGGAAAACACTCTTCAGGATATTATCCAGGAGAACTTCCCCAACCTAGCAAGACAGGCCAACATCCAAATCCAGGAAATACAGAGAACACCACAAAGATACTCCTCGAGAAGAACAACCCCAAGACACATAATTGTCAGATTCACCAAGGTTGAAATGAAGGAAAAAATGTTAAGGGCAGCCAGAGAGAAAGGTCGGGTTACCCACAAAGGGAAGCCCATCAGACTAACAGCAGATTTCTCTGCAGAAACCCTACAAGCCAGAAGAGAGTGGGGGCCAATATTCAACATTCTTAAAGAAAATAATTTTCAACCCAGAATTTCCTATCCAGCCAAACTAAGCTTCATAAGTGAAGGAGAAATAAAATCCTTTACAGACAAGCAAATACTGAGGGATTTTGTCACCACCAGACCTGCCTTACAAGAGCTCCTGAAAGAAGCAGTAAACATGGAAACGAACAACCAGTACCAGCCACTGCAAAAAATACCAAATTGTAAAGACCATCAATGCTGTGAAGAAACTGCATCAATTAACGGGCAAAATAACCAGCTAACATCATAATGACAGGATCAAATTCACACATAACAATATTAACCTTAAGTTGAATGGGCTAAATGCCCCAATTAAAAGACACAGACTGGCAAATTGGATAAAGAGTCAAGACCCATCAATGTGCTGTATTCAGGAGACCCATCTCACATGCAAAGACACACATAGGCTCACAATAAAGGGATAGAGGAATATTTACCAATCAAATGGAAAGCAAAAAAAAAAAAAAAAAAAAAAAAAGCAGGAGTCGCAATCCTAATCCTAATATCTGACAAAATAGACTTTAAACCAACAAAGATCAAAAGAGACAAAGAAGGACATTACATAATGGTAAAGGGAACAATGCAGCAAGAAGAGCTAACTATCCTAAATACATATGCACCCAATACAGGAGCACCAAGATTCATAAAGCAAGTTCTTAGAGACCTACAAAGAGACTTAGAGTCCCACACAATAATAGTGGGAGACTTTAACACCCCACTGTCAATATTAGACAGATCAATGAAAATTAACAAGGATATTCAGGACTTGAACTCAGCTCTGGATCAAGCAGATCTAACAGACATCTGCAGAACTCTCCACCTGAAATCAACAAAATATACATTCTTCTCAGCACCTCATAGCACTTATTCTAAAATTGACCACATAATTGGAAGTAAAACACTCTTTAGCAAATGCAAAAGAACAGAAATCATAACAGTCTCTCAGGCCACAGTGCAATCAAATTAGAACTCAGGATTAAGAAACCCATTCAAAACCACACAAATACATGGAAACTGAACAGTCTGCT
The DNA here is from genome assembly GCF_000001405.40 of Homo sapiens. Lineage (NCBI taxonomy): Eukaryota > Metazoa > Chordata > Mammalia > Primates > Hominidae > Homo > Homo sapiens. Next base: position 89,674,191 of record NC_000004.12, read on the forward strand.
CCTGAATGACTACTGGGTAAATAACAAAATGAAGGCAGAAATAAAGATGTTCTTTAAAACCAATGAGAATGAAGACACAATGTACCAGAATTTCTGGGACACATTTAAAACAGTGTTTAGAGGGAAATTTATAACATTAATGCCCACAAAAGAGAGCAGGAAAGATCTAAAATTGACACCCTAACATGAAAATTAAAAGAACTAGAGAAGCAACAGCAAAGAAATTCAAAAGCTAGCAGAAGACATGAAATAACTAAGATCAGAGCAGAACTGAAGGAGATACAGACATGAAAAACCGTTCAAAAAAAGATCAATGAATCCAGGAACTGTTTTTTTTTTTTTTTTTGAAAACAAAAAACAAAAAAAAAACCAACAAAATAGATAACCCGCTAGCCAGACTAATAAAGAAGAAAAGAGAGAAGAATCAAATAGACGCAATAAAAAATGACATAGGGGATATCACCACTGATCCCACAGAAATACAAACTACCATCAGAGAATACTATAAACACCTCTATGCAAATAAACTAGAAAATCTAGAAGAAATGGATAAATTCCTGGACACATACACCCTCCCAAGTCTAAGCCAAGAAGAAGTTGAATCCCCGAATAGACCAACAACAAGTTCTGAAATTGAGGCGGTAATTAATAGCCTACCAACCAAAAAAAGTCCAGGACCAGATGGATTCACAGCCAAATTTGAGGTATTGCTCTTCACACTTGGGGGCATTAGCTGCGGGGGTCTGCCTGCAGACCCTGACCCAAACGATGGATGAATAAAATGTACCCTGACACACAGATATTTTGTTTTGCCAGTTCAGCTGAGTGTCCAACTGCCTGCACATCAAGAGAGGTTTGTCACTGTGGCCGGCCCTGAGCAGTTCGCATTCCAGGCATTTATTTGGTATACAATTAACAACAGAAGCTTTGAGTAAACACACTTGCGGATAACTAACATGGTTAAGAGAGTAGTTCTAGGAATGATTAAAGCTCAGGTACCGGGGTCTAAAGTAACTACCATGAGGGGGCAATTTGCCTCTTAGACCTCTCCCCCACCGAGAGAGCCATCTGGCTCAAAGGTTAGTTAATGGAGGTAGGGTAAACACACTTAACTGGAGAAGCCTCTATTGTCCCTAATATTTACGCTATGACCTAATGCTCTAAGGTAAGAACAGGCTGCCTTTGCCCTGTTCAGTTATTACAAGCTATGTAACCTTTCGGCCTTCCAAAAGATTTGTGACTATTCCCTATAACTTTCCCTAATATTTCCCTTTAATATTTCTGCCACCATCCTGAGTGAATCCCAACACGAATTCTACCAGAGGTACAAAGAGGAGCTGGTACTATTTCTTCTGAAACTATTCCAAACAATAGAAAAAAAGGGACTCCTCCCTAACTCATTTTATGAGGACAGCATCATCCTGATACCAAAACCTGGTAGAGACACAACAAAAAAAGAAAATTTCAGGCCAACATCCCTGATGAACATCGATGTGAAAGTCCTCAATAAAATCCTGGCAAACTGAATCCAGCAGCACATCAAAAAGCATATCCAGCATGATCAAGTTGGCTTCATCCCTGCGATGTAAGGCTGGTTCAACATATGCAAATCAATAAATGTAATCCATCATACAAACAGAACCAATGACAAAAACCACATGGTTATCTCAATAGATGCAGAAAAGGCCTTTGACAAAATTCAACAGGGCTTCATGCTAAAAACTTTCAATAAACTAGGTATCAATGGAACATATCTCAAAATAGAGCTATTTATGACAAACCCACAGCCAATATCATACTGAATGGGCAAAAGCTAGAAGCATTCTCTTTGAAAACTGGCACAAGACAGGGATGCCCTCTCTCACCACTCCTATTCAACATAGTACTGGAAGTTCTGGCCAGGGCAATCAGGCAAGAGAAAGCAATAAGTGGTATTCAGAAAGGAAGAGAGAAAGTCAAATTGTCTCTGTTTGCAGATGACATGATTGTATATTTAGAAAACCCCATCATCTCAGCCCAAAACCTCCTTAAGCTGATAAGCAACTTCAGCAAAGTCTCAGGTTATAAAATCAATGTGCAAAAATCACAAGCATTCCTACACACCAATAACAGACAAACAGCCAAATCATGAGTGAACTCCCATTCACAATTGCTACTAAAAGAATAAAATACCTAGGAGTCCAACTTACAAGGGATGTGAAGGACCTCTTCAAGGAGAACTACATATCACTGCTGAATGAAATAAAAGAAGACACAAATAAATGGAAGAACATTCCATGCTCATGGGTAGGAAGAATCAATGTGGTGAAAATGGCCATACTGCCCAAAGTAATTTATAGATTCAATGCTATCCCCATCAAGCTACCACTGACTTTCTTCACAGAATTGGAAAAATACTATTTTAAACTTCATATGGAACCAAAAAGGAGTCTGCATAGCCAAGACAATCCTGGGCAAGAAGAACAAAGCTGGAGTCATCATGCTACCTGACTTCAAACTATACTACAAGGCTACAGTAACCCAAACAGCATGGTACTGGTGGCAGGACAGATATATAGACCAATGGAACAGAACGGAGACCTCAGAAATAACACCACACAGCTACAACCATCTGATCTTTGACAAACCTGACACGCACAAGCAATGGGGAAAAGATTCCCTATTTAGTAAATAGTGTTGGGAAAACTGGCTAGCCATATGCAGAAAACTGAAACTGGACCCCTTCCTTACACCTTTTACAAAAATCACCTTAAGATGGATCAAAGACTTAAACGTAAGACCTAGGACCATAAAAACCCTAGAAGAAAACCTGGGCAATACTATACAGGACATAAGCATGAGCAAACACTTCATGTCTAAAACACCAAAAGCAATAGCAACAAAAGCCAAAATTGACAAATGTGATCTAATTAAACTAAAGAGCTTCTGCACAGCAAAAGAAGCTATCATCAGAGTGAACAGACAACCTAAAGAATGGGAGAAAATATTTGCAATCTATCCGTCTGACAAAGGGCTAATATCCAGAATCTACAAACAACTTAAATAAATGTACAAGAAAAAAACAAACCACCATCAAAAAATGGGCAAACGATATGAACAGACACTTCTCAAAAGAAGGCATTTATGCAGCCAACAGACATATGAAAAAATGCTCATTATCACTGGTCATTAGAGAAATGCAAATCAAAACCACAATGAGATACCATCTCACACCAGTTAGAATGGCAATCACTAAAAAGTTACGAAACAACAGATGCTGGAGAGGTTGTGGACAAATAGTAATGTTTTTACACTATTGGTGGGAGTGTAAATTAGTTCAACCATTATGGAAGACAGTGTGGCAATTCCTCAAGGATCTAGAACTGGAAATACCATTTGACCCAGCAATCCCATTACTGGGGATATACCCAAAGCATTATAAATCATTCTATGATAAAGACACATGCACACGTATGTTTATTGTGGCACTATTCACAATAGCAAAGACTTGGAATCAACCCAAATGTCCACCAATGATAGACTGGATTAAGAAAATGTGGCACATGTACACCATGGAATACTATGCAGCCATAAAAAAGGATGAGTTCATGTCCTTTACAGGGACAAGGATGAAGCTGGAAACCATCATTCTCAGCAAACTATCACAAGATCAGAAAACCAAACACTGCATGTTCTCACTCATAAGTGGGAGTTGAACAATGAGAACACATGAACTCAGGGAGGGGAACATCACACACTGGGGCCTGTTGGGGGGTGGGGGGCTAGGGGAGGGATAACATTAGGAGAAATACCTAATGTAGGTGACGGGTTGATGGGTGCAGCAAACCACCAGGGCATGTGTATACCTATGTAATAAAACTGCACATTCTCCACATGTAACCAAGAACTTAAAGTGTGTGTGTGTGTGTGTATGTGTGTGTGTTTATATATATATACACACACACATATACATATATATATATATAACTTATAAGGAATTTTTACACTAAAAAAAGAAAATGCTGGGTAAGAATAGGGTATGTGGACAGACTAAGAAACAATCAAAAGATGAGTGGGCTGGGTTTGTGGTGGCCAGGTTTGTGGAGCTGATTAAGACATTGCTTTAAAATGATATTTTTTTAATATAAATTACTGTCTATATGAATATAATCCCTTCCAATTCCCCCAACTTTTGTAATTTTATTACAGAAGTGATTTTAAGTTTTAATTCAATTTCTGTCAGTTTGGTATTTTTTGATCACAGACTACAGGGTACTCAAATTTGGGAGGAGGAGGTTATGCAAGTATATTCATATTTATTTATTTATTCACTTATTCATTTTATCTTCCTGCAGTTTAGCGATCAATTTTGCTATTTTATGGTACAAAATGGCTTTCTGCCGCGTTGGTAAAGAAAGCCAATTGTCTTTGAAGCTAGTAGTGGTCAGATGACAAATCCCTGATCAATGATGCTTAAGTGGAAGTCAGCGGATGGTGCTCTCTCCTGGAGATTTTTTAAAGGATCTGATTTATCTGGTTTGTTTAAATGGAATCATAATCAGAGAAATAATTTCACCATGAGAAATTAATTAAAGAAGGCCAGAGGACAGCATTTAAAGTGAAAATCTAAAGGACATAATTGGAAAGAAAAAAAAAACAGTTTGGGGGAAAATGTCAAGTGATGGATTTGTGAGCATTTACTAAGGCAGGGGGCAAGCCATTATACTAAAGAAAGTACATGGCAACTGAAAATGATCTTTCCACATACAAATTCTTTCAGATGAAAATTTTTATTGTTTTTCAAATCTTATTTTTAAATTTTTGTCTCCTTTATCTCTCAGTATATGAGTGATTTGTTGAAAATCTCCCTCTGTGACGCTGTGACTGTGGAACTATCCATTTCCTCTTGTAATCTGGCTATTACTTGTTTTACATATTTTTATAGATTCAACATTATAGTATTTACTTGATGATTTATTTTATTGGTATAAAGTGTTCTTTTCCTTCTTAATATATTTCATCTGAAATTTCATTCTTTTCTGATATTAATATTGGTGTACCAGCTTTTTTCTTATTAATGTTCACATGCTTTCTCCTTTTTCTTTTTATTTTCAGCATTTCTGTGTTATTGCATTTGGTGTTTCTCTTATAAAGGATATAACTGGATTTCGTTTAGGTAATCTGAGATTCCTGGCATTGGAAAAGTGGGTTTAACTCATTCTGATTCTTGATGATTTTTCAGATGTGTTGACTTTTTTCAGCATTTTAGTTTATGTTTTCTGTGCCATGCCTTTGTGTCTGGAATTGGTTCCTTCCAGTGGGTTCTTGGTCTTGCTGACTTCAAGAATGAAGCCGCAGACCCTCGTGGTGAGTGTTACAGTTCTCAAAGATGGTGTGTCCGGAGTTTGTTCCTTCAGATGTTCACGTGTCCAGAGTTTCTTCCTTCTGGTGGGTTAATAGTCTCGCTGGCTTCAGGAGTGAAGCTGCAGACCTTCGCAGTGAGTGTTACAGCTCATAAAGGTGGCGCTTCTGGAGTTGTTCGTTCCTTCCGGTGGGTTCGTGGTCTCTCTGGCTTCAGGAGTGAAGCTGCAGACCTTTGCAGTGTTACATCTCTTAAAGGTGGCACGTCCAGAGTTGTACATTCCTCCCGTCCAGAGTTGTTTTGTTCCTCCTTCCTCGTTCCTCCCAGTGGGTTTGTGGTCTCGCTGGCTTCAGGAGTGAAGCTGCAGACCTTTGCAGTGAGTGTTACAGCTCTTAAAGGTGGCACAGACCCAAAGAGTGAGCAGCAGCAAGATTTATTGCAAAGAGCAAAAGAACAAAACTTCGAAAAAGTGGAAGGGGACCTGAGTGGGTTGCTCAGGTGGCCTGCTTTTATTCCCTTATTTGGCCCCAATCACATCCTGCTGATTGGTCTATTTTACAGAGAGCTGATTGGTCCATTTTACAGAGTGCTGATTGGTCCGTTTTTACACAGAGCACTGATTGGTGCATTTACAAAGCTTTAGCTAGACACAGAACGCTGATCGGTGCATTTGCAATCCTTTAGCTAGACAGAAAAGTTCTCCAAGTCCCCTACCCAATTAGCTAGACACAGAGCGCTGATTGGTGTATTTACAAACCTTTAGCTAGCACAGACCACTGATTGGTGCATTTACAATCCTTTAGCTAGACAGAAAAGTTCTCCAAGTCCCCTACCTGATTAGCTAGACACAGAGCACTGATTGGTATGTTTACAAACTTTTAGCTAGACACAGAGCACTGATTGGTGCATTTACAATCCTTTAGCTAGACAGAAAAGTTCTCCAAGCCCCCTACCGGATTAGCTAGACACAGAGCACTGATTGGCACTGACTGGTGTGTCTACAAACCTTTAGCTAGACACAGAGAACTGATTGGTGTATTTACAATCCTTTAGCTAGACAGAAAAGTTCTCCAAGTCCCCACCCAACCCAGAAGCCCAGCTGGCTTCACCTCTCACTTTTTCTGTCCCTTTTTCCCTTACCCTATATTCTATTGATCCAATGAAGTCATTTCTATTCCCCTCTTTTTTCTTTATAAGTTTAGAAGTAATGTACTTAATTCTATTCTTTCAGGGTTAACTCAACATTTTTTCACTTATATATCATATTTATATTTTCTAATATTACCTAGAACCAGTTAGTCTGTATTCTTTCAAAGCAGAGAGATGTTACATTCTGGACTAAATCATGCTCCTATCTTCCATGATCACATGTGGAATATTTGTTACAAATTGTTTTAAGCACACAATACAGCTTTTCTAATAGTCAATGCTTATTTAAATTTGTGAACATGTTTTGCTGCTTATTTTGAATAATTTTTTTCTCAATATTTACTCTTATTTGAGATCTTTTTTTTTTTCCTGAAGTACATTCTATAGTTATTTTTCAGTTAGTACATGTGATCAAAAACTCAGTATCTGAAATACTTATATTTTACACTCACTCTCGAATGATGGTTTATTAGGGTGCAGAACTCTATACTGACAATCATTTCCCTTCTAAAGTTTGAAAATATAACTTCTAGGACATTGTGTTACTAGTGAGAACACTCATAGAGATGTTATCTATTTGTGATAGATGCAAGAGGCAGATAAGGGAGGGTTCCCAGAGAATCTCTGACCTGCCCCACAAGTGTTTACATTAGATGCTTCTGTGCAAATGAGGGAACCTGCCCAGGGCTTTGCCTGGGCATGCCCACAGCAGACCGGGGGCCCACCTGCGTACCGGGAGAGTGGGGTGGAGCCACCGGGAATTCACGCCTGATGCCCGGGGAGGAGTCTGGCCTCTTCAGCTCCTGTGTGGTGGCCTGATATTCAGTCTGTGAGCTGGGAGCCTGTTGGCAGGTCCCTCTTTTTATTTTCGCTGAGAGCTTTCTTTTACTAAATGCCACCATCCTTACCTTTCAAGGTGTCTGCGTGCCTAATTTTTCCTGGTTGTTAGACAAGAACCCGGATTTTAGTTGAACTCTGGAGCAAAAATCCTGCATCATTTGTAGGTAATGTTTGTTTTCTTTGGTTGCTTTTATGACCTTCTCTTTATTCCTAGTATTTGGGCATTTCACAAAAACATTTATAAATCTGAATTAAAAAACAAACTGACCTTGCCAAGGACCCTACTGATCCCTTTTCATATAATTCTATCTGCTAGGTCTTGTGCTGCCTTCTAAGTTAGTTCATCAGTTCTATACTTCAGTATTTAATTCTATATTCAGCCATGTTATCAAATGTTTATTTCAACCTTTGAGTTTCTCATTTGTAATAGTATTTTTTCATTTTTATGTTTTTAAAAGAGTTCTTTTCATATTTTACTATTTTTGTTTAGTAACTTTCAGTACTTGTTGCGTAGATTTTATTTCATCTTTATGTTTTTGAGATGTTTGCATAACACATTTAAAGACAATTACATATTGTTGTATGATTTCCATTTCCTTGGTCAAGAATTCTCCCATTTGTTGCATCTCTGAAGAGTTTCCCAAGGTGGGTTAATCTTGAATATGGTAAACTTGCTGCCCTCAGTTTTTTAGTTTTAATACTTTATCAGTTGTTTCTTGTTCTTTTTTTTTCTGGGCATATTATTACCTCATTTGAAAATAATGACAATTTTGGCCTTTCTCTTCGAGATTTTGTAACTCATTTTCTTTTCTTTTCACATAGAATTTGATAAGGCCTCCAGTACTTTGTGATATAGTAGTTGTGGGGATGGTCCTTCTTGTCTTACTGCTGATCTCAAGTTTATGTTTGTAGCAAATTTTTGCTACATGACCATTACAAGTTTAAGAGGTTACCAAGAGTTTTTATTACAAATACCTTAAATCTTAGCAAAGACTATAAAAACTGAGATAAACATGTTTTTCTTCTAAATAGTAATCATTTAGACAAATCACAAATGTGATATCAGATTAGTGCATCCTACACTGTATGGAAACTATAAATTCATGATTTTCAAAAATTGTAGGTAAATATTTATTTTTCAAAATAATTTATCCATCTTGCTTTACCAAAAAAGGCAAGGTCTTGTTTTTCTTTCCCTATACAGTAGTAATGGCTCTTTGGTGTAAAAACTTTATAGGACCTAAAGTAAAAAAGAAGATAAAAACCAGTTTGTCTTTCAAAGTCTTAAAATATTTCATTAACCTCGTAGTGCCTGATCTCTGTCACCAAGCAAATAGTCTGAACTATTATTTCCAAGCTCAATTCAAACAGGTAAAGTTTTACTACAATTATATCTGGCCATCACTACAGTGTTTTCTCCAATCACTTCCAAAGCCTACCCCTTTTCTTTATCATACTTCCACCTACATTGCATAATACAGAGCTTAGCTAGTGAGGTACAAGTGATAAGGATTATCTCCCCAGAGTCTCCGGGCCTTGGTAATTCCTAGACCACAGCACCATGCATTAGGTTATAGTCACAGGCCTCTATATAGTCTTCCACATATCCCATTACATTTTAAATCCTATGCATACCCTTTATATCCTGCACTTATCTGTCAAAATTCTAAGGTATAAGATTTTTTTTTTACTTATCCCTGCTGTTTAATTTTGAAGAAAGAAAAATATAAAAGAAAATTTTTTAAAAAGAGGCCTTCATGGATATCAAAGAATGCCAACAATAATGCTGAAGAAAGAAGTTATTCTACAGCAATGAGACACAAAGAAAAGAATTTTGTAAACATTAGCATCTTGGTTACTGGAGAACTATAACTTTTATGTAGTCGTGCTTGGAAAACACTAAAAGGGAAATCGAGTCTGTTTGACAATATTCTGTCTTCACTGTTGATCACTTCATAATGTGTTGGAATATAAAGTTCTATACAGTTAATATGAAGCTCTCTTTAGCATTTAAAACATGATTTGCATTTTCATGAGGCATTTTGGCTAATTTTATTGATTTCCTTATATTTCATAGTCCTTAGCCTTATGAGAATCTTATGTTTCTGTGTGTTTTCTATCATGTAGCACAATTTCTGACACACAAAACATACAATAAACTTGTGTTAATTTTTCTATCAAAGTCAGAATTTATTCATAAGGAATCTGAAGTAAGGTGTACTAAGCTTGTTTATGGGTTAAGTGATATAGCCAAATTCAAAACTTTACTTTTTATGTCAGTCTAGAAATATCTCAGATTAAAACATATCACTTCTTAGTTCCAATTAGATAAGGGAAATCTTTTATAATAATGCCAGGATTGCTATAATCTGATAGGAGACAACAATTTCATTTTGCTACAGGAAAATTTGGAGGACAAAAAAAAAAAAAGAAAACATAAGATAGAGGAGAGAAAATAGTCAGATGAAGAAGCAAAAAACACAAACAAGGCATTTAGATTTGTTAGGAAGGAATTCAAGTCAGTCAGTAAAGTGATAACTTTTGAATTATCTGAGAAAAATATACTCAGAACAAAATCAGGCACACTAAAGGTATCCATAATCCACATTATTTACTAGGCTAAAGGTAAGTACAAACAAATCTACATGGACTAATTGTATCACAGAACAAAAAGGGTAGCAAAATCCAGTAATTCCAATGGAGTAATAAAGTTGCAGACAAAGGAAAATTAACGTGTGCATTGCTTGAGATATGACTAAAATGTCATTAAAATAAATTCTAAGTTATGAATATTCATTTGAAAAGTTACAAAGTACACACTGATTTATATTTCAGAAGCAAGGATATATGTTTCTATATAATTTAGTCCTAAATATAGTTCATTTCCTATGCTAATGCTTTTTTCCTTCTTCTTACCTTCTTAGGTCAACAACAAGAGGCCAGGACCTCCCAAGAAAAGCTTTACTAATGTAATAGCTTTGGCCAAGTCCACCCAATATATTTTCCTCTCTGCAAAGAGAAACAAGCTATTGTCTCATCTTAGGTTTCATCTTCTTCCATGCCACTGTTATTCATGTTCAAATCCTGGCTGTCCTTCAGGGTCCAATTCAAATGATTATCGCCATTTTCTATTAATGTCATTTCTTCCTATTTTCTACCTTTTGTTAGCTATGTTAAAGTGTTTCTTTACCAACATCCCCCATATATTGTGTAACACAGTGTCTATGGCTTACTCATTTTTGAATCCTTATCATGACCTGACATAATGAAGATTCTTAGTACATAGTGATACATGTAAATATGAGTTAATTAGTACATGATAGACTTGATTTCCAGAATGATTTTGTATAGTTGAATTGTGTAGTAAGGGGACACATGTGAAATGAAGACTTTAGTCAGTATCAAGAAGATATTTTGGGTGACTTCACATATCTGCCAATGATAAATCTAGAAACAATAGGTGCTTGGGTAGGTGATTTCCTTTTGCCTTCTTTATCATTGTTTTCCCAGTATTTCTTACATTCATCTAATTTCATTAGATGCCCATATACTTTATACTGGCTCTTCCTGTGAGGTTCGAACTGGTCCAGTCCATTTGTTTTCAGAATTGATTCATCTGGAGAGTCATCTCCTATCCTCCCAAACAATGATATACCAGTCTGAGGACTGTGTAGAAGGGACTTCTCTTTCTACTCAGTATGACCAAAATAATTCAATTCTAGTTGTGGTGTGTGATTTATGAATATTTTGTCCTTTAGTTTGTGTGAGCCAATTTTGTGCCATAAGAATTTTAGCCTCCTTTTCCACAAAAGAGTGATTTAATCAAACAAAAGTTGACAATCAATGTAGTACATTTGTGTGACAGTGATTAAACATGGTGTTTTTCTCTTAGGTGTCTGAGTAGATTTGGAAATGCCCATTCAGCCCTCAGAGCTCCTCTGCTTTAAGGGTGATGGACTTCCTGTACCACTACGTAGTGCATGAGTGCCAGCCACTGGTATCTAGAACTGTGATTAGTGAGGAAACACTAGGAGGAACAAACAACCCAACTCTTTTTATCTAATCTGTTGACTCCAAAGGGACCTTCTGCTTATTCCAGTTAAAACTCAAGCTGCAATTCAAAATGAAATCAGTATCTTTTTTCTCTACTTTTCAGCAAAGCAAGATGCTACCTTATAATTACCACGTAACAATCAATCGCAAACATAGTGGCTTAAAGCAGCTCCTCTTTTAGCCTACATATCTGCAAACTGGCAGTCTGGACTGAGCTCAGCTGGATGTTTTTTCTGAGCTGATCATGTATGTAGGGTCTGCTGCTGGCTGGTTTAGACTGATGGTGGATGAGAAACCACATGAAGAAGAGAGGCATGATGGTGGCAGAGTTCTGAAAGAGTCACACAGAAGGGCGTTGAGTTCGTGGCTTGAAAATAGCATCCTGTCACTTCTACCACATTCTATTTACCAGGCCAGCCCAGATAAAGATGTGAAGAAACAGACTCCATCTCTTGATGGGAGAAGTTGAAAATCAATGGAAAATGGCATGGATAAGGAAAGGAGTGATGATTGTGGCCATATTTGTAATGGCCATATTTGATACCCTTTTCAGTTTTCCTAGCCACACTTCTCATTGGCCAGGAAAATTAAATGCATGTCAACACTGAAGAAAACAGATCTTGGTTAAAAGCAATGATGTAGCTAATATCCCGTTCAGGTAAAAGATTACTTATATAGTGTGAGACAGGCATGAGGCAGAGAAGTGCTTACAGGTTGGTTTCTGCTTTGTTAGCAGATTTACTTTTAGATCATATACTACTTTGTTTTTACTGTTTTATTGAGAAAAAATAACAAATATTTCCAAAATTTTGCAGCATGCAACTCAGTGCTTCAGTTGGCATTCAATCAAAATTTCCTTGAAATAAAAAAAGACAAGAGAGAGACTTGGAATTATGACTCTTCTACTAGATTAGCTCCTTCATGTCAAAATCTGTCAAGTTTATGATTTATTCAGATAGCACTTGTTTTTGGTGTAATAACTAAACTGTTGCTTTAGAGTCTACTACATTCTCCTCTATTATTTGGCATTTTTCTCTTTATTATTTTGTTCAAGTAGGATATTGTGCTGAGTTGAACCATGAAATGAATTGTATTGAGCAACATCAACAACATAAATATTCTGGGGTGTCATCTGCATTTTCATATCTGGCTGCTCAAATTCTTTTTACAGCTATAGCTTTGATAATAATGTAATAGCATAATGTTTTTCATTAGATATCAAATCATAGAAGACAACAAAGATGTGTTAAGTTAGCATAGTTTAATATAAGGAAACAACAGCATCAGTAAAAGCATTGAGCACTAAATATCTCTTCCATTTCAGTTCTTTTACAGGAAGCTTTTGTTACGTGTTGTCAGCACATTGCTGTGATGCTCAAGTATAGCTCTTTAATGTGAAAACCTGGTATTTGGGCATGGCTTGAAGCAGGTGAGAGAGTAACCCATGCAGATATTAGAGGAAAGGAACAAGAGTAGCTGGAAAGATCCAGAGTTAGGAAGCTTCCTGGTGCCCTCCAGGAGTGGCAAGCTGGTCACTGTGGCATGAGAAAATTGAGTTAGGGAAAAAGAAGCAGATTAGGTCAAAGAGGTGAAATGGGAGGGAGGTCATGTAGATGTTGTAGGCTACTGTGATGAGTTTGACTTTTACTCTGGAAGACAGGAAGACAACCATAAAATTTGGGCCATTAGAGTGAAATAATTTGTCTTTATTTTAAAAGGATCACTTTGCCTCCTCTGTTGGAATAGAATGTGTATGTACTGGAGAGTGGTGGTGGATAGACAGCTATAATGGAAGCTGGGAGACAAATTAGAAAGCAACTGTTTTCTCCCAAATTCATTCCCTGCCCTTCCTCTAATTACATCTATATCTTAGAGGTCTAATCCTTAAAAAATATATTTCCCAGATTCCCTTGCTAATTGGTTTCAAACTAAATTTAGTCAAAAAGAAGCATTGTCATGAAGTTCAGGGCACCAAGAAGGGACAAGCTGGGGCATTGCTCTCTCTCTCTGATTGCTTTGGGTTGTGCCTGTGGCAACTGCCACATGTGCCCCATGGCCAGTCCCTGCTGGGCAGGCTACTGTGATTGCCATTTGTATTGGGTGATCTCAGCTTTTGGTTTCCCATGATACCATCTCTAGGGGTAGCAGCTGGCTATAATAACTAATGTCTGGATTATCCTAACTCTTCTGTTTGTTCTTTCAGGTATTTAACAATGTTGTGACTAATTGGCTTCCATTATTTCCCTAGAGTAGGTTCTGTTATTACCCTGGAATATGTTTGTAATAGAGTGGGCTATTACAATCATCTAGGATAAAGATAATCGTGGCTTGGAATAAGGTGGTAGCAATGGAAGTGATGAGAAGTCATTAGATGCAGAATATATTTTATAGATGGAATGTGATAAAATAAAAAATAAACTGGACTCTGGTTTCCAGCATATAGTTCCAAAAGACTGAAATTGAAATTTGTGGAGTAATAGGGTATCTTTTGTATGCTAATGAGAAGAGTGGCGGTTGGGGGCCCCTAGAAAGCTTCAGCATGAGGGCTAGTCACCAGAAAAACTATGACATGATTAGAGGGCTAGAACTTTCAGCCTCACTCCTTGACCTCTGAGGAGAGAAGACAGGCTAGAGATTGAGTTCAATCACCAATGGCCAATGATTTAATCAATATCATGCCTACATAACGCAGTCTCCATAGAAACCCCTAAACCGTGGATTTCAGAGAGCTTCTGGGTTGGCCAACATATCAACAGAGGAGCTGTGAGGTGGGCAAGCCTGAAGAGGGCTTGGAAGGTCCTGTATCTGCCCCCTTTTCTTTGCTTTATGCTTCTCTTCCATGGGCTGTTCCTAAGTTGTATCTTTTATATAGTCAAAAAGAGTTTTGATATAGGTTGTATGAGTGTTATAAGATAAATAAAAGTCAAAAATGACTCTAGTGTTTTTCCTGAGAAATTGAAAATGGCATAATTATTATTAACTAAGATGAAAATAATGTAAATAAAGCAAGTCTATGCTGGGAGAGATTAGGGGTTCAGTTTTGTACATGCTGTGTTTAAGATGCCCATTAACTACCTAATTGGAACGTTTAAATGATCAGTTGTGTATATATGCATCTGGAGTCAGAAGTCCAAACTAGAGATATAAATTTAGGAATCAACAGCTTTTATTGTTGTCTATTCAAAGTTATGAGCCTAGATGAGATCATTCCAGAAAGTGAACATATATAAAAGAGAGATTACCAAAAGTGAATGAGGACTCCATTTACTATACCTTCAATTATTTAAAATCTTATAAATTGGTGCTGTCCAATAGAACTTCCTGCAGAGACAGAAATGTTCTATATTTGTACTATCTGAAATAGTAGCTGTATTAGTTTTCTATTTCTACCACAACAAATTGTCTCAACTATAGTGGCTTAAACAACAGTAATTTATTATCTTGTAGTTCTGTAGATCAGAAATGCACCATGGTGTCACTGGGCTAAAACCAAGGTGCCAGCATGGTTGCATTCCTTTTTGGAGGCTCTGGTGGAGAATCTGTTTCTTTGACTGATCTAACTTCTAGAGCCCATTTGCATTCCGTGGCTTGTGGCTCCCTACCTGCATCTTCAAAGCTAGCAAGGCATGTTGAGTTCTCACAGCTCATTACCCTGATCTTTTCTTCTGTCTTCCTCCTCCACTTTAAGTATCCTTGTGATTAGATTGGAACCCTTGTGGATAATCCAGGATAATCTTCCCATCTCAAGGCCCTTAACCTTAATCACATGTATAAAGTCCCTTTTGTCATGTAAAGTAACATATCCATAGGTTCCAGGATTAGAATGCATACATTTTTGGGAGGCCATTACTTTGCCTACCAGCATGACCACTATCACCATATGGTGATTGGACATTTGAAACATGGCTAGTGGAATTGAGAAACAACATTATTTTATTTTAACTAATTTAAATGGAAATGGAAATGCATATAGATAATGGCTACCTTATTGGACAGCACACATCTAGAAGAATAGGAGAGTAAATAGACTAGGGACATGTGGTATGATCACAGACCAACATTAAGAGCCTATGTATGATTTGTAGTTATGAATTTTAAGTAAGACTTTAGCATAGTTGTATTTCTACAGCCATGTTAACTACTGATGGCACTCTATATTAATCCCTTCTCACACTGCTATAAGGACATACTTGAGACTGGGTAATTTATTTTAAAAAAGAGGTTTAATGGACTCAGTTTCATATGGCTGGGGAGACCTCACAATCATGGTGTAAGGCGAAGAAGGAGTAAAGGCACATCTTACATGGCAGCAGGCAAGAGAGCATGTGAGGGGGAATGGCCTTTTATAAAACTATCAGATCTCATGAGAACTCACTCACTATGACAAGAACACCATGGAGGTAACCACCTTCATGATTCAATTACCTCCCACCAGGTCCCTCCTATGACATGTGGGGATCATGAAAACTACAATCCACGATGAGATTTGGGTGGGGACACAGCCAAACCATATCACACCCATAAAATTGCCTTGAAGATACATTATCAAAAAACGATAATTATAAACCAAGGGAGATAAAGGTTTTGAATTTAAGAAACAGTGATGAGCAAAGAGACCAGAAAAATTTCTCTTAACTCTAAATAATTATTGAGGCTACCACTCCAAAAATTAATATAATTTTTTTTTTAGATGAAGTCTCACACTGTCACCTGGGCTGGAGTGCAGTGGCGCAATCTCGGCTCACTGCAACCTCTGCCTCCTGGGTTCAAGCAATTCTCCTGCCTCAGCCTCCCAAGTAGCTGGGATTACAGGCACCCGCCACTACACCCAGCTAATTTGTTGTATTTTTAGTAGAGATGGGGTTTCACTATGTTGGCCAGGCTGGTCTCAACTCCTGATCTCAGGTGATCCCCCCCACCTCAGCCTCCCAAAGTGCTAGGATTACAGGTGTGAGCCACTGCGCCCAGCCCAAAATATCTTAAGTAGATGGGGTTGTGCCATATTGGCCAGTCTGGTCTTGAACTCCTGACCTTGTGATCCACCTGCCTCGGCCTCCCAAAGTGCTGGGATTACAGGCATGAGCCAC
The DNA here is from genome assembly GCF_000001405.40 of Homo sapiens. Lineage (NCBI taxonomy): Eukaryota > Metazoa > Chordata > Mammalia > Primates > Hominidae > Homo > Homo sapiens. The sequence goes on from NC_000004.12 coordinate 89,690,661, forward strand.
TGTGCCTGGCCATATAATTTTTAAAAGAAGATTCATTAAACAAAGGATCCACAATATAATAAAAAATTCCAAACTATCAAAAGCCAAATGATTAATTCTTGACACTTAGGAAATAAATGGATTGATTATTTTGTTCCGAATTTCAGAACAACCAATAAAATAAGAGAAATAAGATACAGAATTTGCAAATCATTAGAAAGAAGTAACAAAGTTATAAACAGGGAAGTATTTTTAAATGACACTTGAAAACCCAAACAAAAGAAGACATAACACACGATGGCAGCAAAAAGTTTAAACATATTATGATTACAATTATGATTAGATAAGTTCCCCTGTCAAAGACAAAGAACAGTAATTAGTTGTTTATAAGAACTACACTTAAATCAAATGACACACAAAGGTAAAAATTGAACAAGGCAATGAGAAGCAAAACAATACCCAGAAATAGATTTCAGCAGAAGTGGGAGTCATTCTTTCCAGTATAGGTTTGAATTCACAATACCTGCAGGGCCTAAAAAAGCTCAAATTAAAATTTAATGTAAAGTGGTCTCCAATTAGTAGTTTCCCAAGATGCCTTGCAGAAGAGGCAATACAAATTCATTCTTTTTTTCTTTTCGCCACAAGGTGGGTGTCATTGTGACTGGCTGCTACCTCCCCATGAGTCTTCTAAAATAAAACCTGCAAATTCACATCTTCCCCATGCTTCCAGAGAATGCATATTCTTCCTTTGAAAAAAGAAAACCAGGTATGGTTGCATGTGCTTGTAGTTCTAGCTACTCAGGAGTACTCAGGAGGCTGAGGTAGGAGGATCACTTAAGCCTAGGAGTTCAAGTCCAAGTCTAACCAAGACATATGGAGACACTCTTTCTGGGGAGGGGAGGGAAAAAGAGGGCAACACCTAGGGAAACAGATTTAGGTAGAGAGGGACAATAGAATTCTCAATTTATAACAAGGAAAAAAATGACTACCAGACATTTGTAAGACGTCAATAGCACAAAAGAGAAACACAACCAGATCATAATTTTTTGGTCAAAGGTCTATAAAACGCTGGCTAATTCTGAGGATATGGTGCAAAAAAATATGATTTTGTTAACCACAACAAAAAGAAAGGTAAGAAATGCTAGGAGAAAGCTAAAAGCTCCATACTAAAATAATGGTCCTAATATTAAGCAAAGTAAAATGTGGTATGATTTTGAGTGGTCAGCAGAGTGTAAGAATAATCTATTTGCACTTGATACTTTCAGCTGTCACAGAGGTCATAGAATTGGGCTTATTGAGAAGGAAAGGTAAATGCTAGTACACTACTTGGCTCAGAAGTGAACAAAATTGCAGTTTGCTCAAACAACTCCATAGGAAAAAGTCTAATAATCTGATGTAAAAATGGGCAGAAGATTTGAATAGATATTTCTCAAAAGAAGACATACGAATGGCAAACAGACATATGAAAATGTACTCAAAATCATTGATCATCAGAGAAATGTAAATCAAAACTGCAATGAGATATCATCCGACTCCAGTTAAAATGGCTTTTATCCAAAAGTCAGGCAATAAAAAATGCTGGTAAGGATGTAGAGAAAAGGGAACCCTTGTACACTGTTAGTGGGAATGTAAATTAATACAATCACTATGGAGAACAGTTTGGAGGATCCTCAAAAAACTAAAAATAGAGCTACCATATGATTCAGCAATCTCACTGCTAGGTATATACCCAAAAGTATATTGAAGAGACATCTGCACTCCCATGTTTGTTGCAGCACTGTTCATAATAGCCAAGATTTGGAAGCCACCTAAGTGTCCATCAACAGATGAATGGAGAAACTGTGGTACATATACACAACGGAGTGCTATTCAGCCATAAAAAAGAATGATACTCTGTCATCTGCAACAACATGAATGGAACTGGAGATCATTATGTTGTTAAATAAGCCAGACACAGAAAGACAAACATCACATATTTTCACTTATTTTGGGGATATAAAAGTCAAAACAAACTCATGGAGATAGAGAACAGATAGACGGTTACCAGAGGCTAGGAGGAGGAGTGGTGGGGGGCAGTTAGTGATGGTTAATTGGTACAAAAAAATGGTTAGAAATAATAAATAAGACCTAGTATTAGATAGGACAACAGGAGGACTATAGTCAAAAATAATTTATTTGTACATTTCAAAGTAACTAAAAGAGTGTAATTGTATTATTTGTAGCACATAGGATAAATGCTTGAGGTGACGGATACCCCATTTACCCTGATGTGATTATTACACATCGTATGCCTGTACCAAAAGATCTCATGTACCTCATAAATACATACACCTACTATATACCCACACAAATTAAAAATTAAAAAAATTTAAAGAAATTACAGTTTGTTGGTTTTGAATATTTGACCAAATTTTTTACTAAGCACAGATAGATTGAATATAATTTTATTGTCCTTTTGACATTATGATAATGAAGGTATCTACACAGAAGTCTGAGATGAGAAAAAAATGATATAATATCCACCTACTACATAGTGGGTAGTTTATATACTAAAGTTATTGTTATGAGAAAGAATGGCTTAGGAATATTATTTAAAATTAATTAAGGGGTGTTAAAAATAAAATACCAAGTGTAAAAATGACAAAGGCAAGAAGAAACAGTATATAATGTGAGTAAATCTTAATCTTTCCAAGAGAGGAGACAGTACATAATGTCTAAAATTGTTAAACCATGAAATAGAAATATAGTTATTTTATTCATAATTAAGGAGATAACTACTATAGCACGAAATCGTGCCAAAAATGGTTGCCTCTGGGAAATGTGATTATAGATATTATAATATTTTGGACTGTAAAAATCTGCTTTTAAGACTGAGGAAATACAAATAGGACAATATTTATTTGAAATTTGTATCCTCAGGGAGTGTAAAGAAATTAATGTATCCACAAAATAATAATAGCTGCTATTTGAAAACATAGTTTTCTTGAAAGTTAAAATAGTAATAGTCTTCTAAAAATTTTGTTAGTTTTGGTTTTCTCTTTAATCTGAGTTATGTAGAAAAGTGCTTATTTCAAATTAGGTAGGCTTGTTTTATTCCTTTTTCTGTCTTTTTTCTATCAACTAGTGTTTTATTGTGTTCAGAAAATGCCATGCATTAAAAGACTACTTTTGAGAATTTCTAGAGATTTTCTTTGTTACTAAAGAGATTTTTGTAATTGTTACATGGGATTTTAAAAAGAATGTAAATTATCCTTTTTGTCAAGTATAATGATTTCTGAAACCTAGCTGTGTCAGAATACTGTATAATACTGTAATAGTATGTTGTTTTTGGCTATGTGTACTTATTTCTTAGAGTGGTATGTTAAAGCCTCGACCTTGTGACTTTGTTTATTTCTCTCTCTACATCTAAACATTTCCAAGACATGTTATTTGCAATACCAAGACCATAACTATTATGTATTTAATCAAAATAAAATATTTCGGCTCTCTATAATTCACCTTGAACTTTATTTTGTTAAATATAAATGTTGTTGATTATACAACATTTCATTATCAATCCCTAGACACATTTCTAATCCACTATAATTGTTTTAAAATAAAAGGAGAAGGGAAGGTTGTAGTAAAACCCTCCCCAAACTCCTCCTCCATAAAAGCAATGAAGATACTGGCAAAAAAAAAAAAGTCAAAATCAACTTTTTCAGAACTCTGGAAACTAACTGAAGCTTTTCAACAATCTGAGGAACTTTTATTTTAGAAAAATAATTGGATCTTGGTAACAATGAGCTTTGTGGTGCTTGAACTTACTTTATGCCCATTCAAATTCATGATATCCTTTAAGACCAATAGATTTACACTCGCAGTAACTGAGAAACAACAGCCTAGCAGTCACTGGATGGGAAGAAGGGTTTAGAAATCACCCAAATCCACATGCGAAATGACCATTTGACCTGTGTGGAAGCTACCTGAAAAACTTCATTCTCAAGGTTTATTATTATTTTATTTAGTTAGTTATTTAGAGAAAGAGTCTCACTCTGTCACCCAGGCTGGAGTGCAGTGACATGATCATGACTCACTGCAGCCTTGACCTCCTAATTTCAAATGATCCTCCCACCTCAGCCTCCCAAGTAGCTAGGACTACATGTGCTTGACCAACACCTAGTTAATTTTTTGTTTTTTTAGAGACAGGAGTCTTGCTATTTTGCCCAGGCATGTCTCAATTTCCTAGCCTCAAGTGTTCCTCCCACCTCAGCCTCTCAAAGTGCTAGAATTATAGGTGTGGCAGGTTTATCTTTATTTGATAAAGGCCTGACTTAGAGCTTTCTCTGTGAGAATAGCCAAATTCCCAGGTGTGTGTCTAAAGCAACTATTGGTAATTGTTTAACAAGACAGCTTCCTTAAGCAGAGATCCCATTTAGGGCTAATAAGTGGCTAAGAAACTTAAAAGGAAAAACTGGGGAATGAAAGGACTTTAGAGGATATTTAAAAGCTCCACACATTCCTGGGAATCTAGAAGGCCACATGCATGTGCAGGACGCTGAACATGTACAGAAAACACTGGAGAAGGTCTTAATTGCTCACCTATGGCTGACCTTTAGTTGCTGTAAAATCAAAAGTAAAGGTTAAGGCAGAACTGTAAATTATCTGAAGTGTTGAAGATGTTCCTGAACATAAACACAGAGTCGGTCAGCAAAGGCTGTGAAACTTATTGGTCTAAGGTATGTAAGGAGATCCCTGTCCAATCGCTAGCTGATGACTAAATTAAAGAATACAGACTTGACAGAATTAGTCCAGGAAATCACAAATAAATAAAAGAAAAATAAACAAAGAGAGGCACAACAAATAGCAACAGTAGCAAGTCCTGGAAGCCTTATTATCATCTGATTTCCAGAGTTGCCACAATATGTTTATTTTAAATGCTTCACTTTTCAATAAAAAATCTTGAGATACCCAAATAAATGAGATAGATGTATGCCCTTTATATATGGTGTTGGGGGGCAGAGGTGGAGGAATAAATAGTCAATAGAAACTATCCCTGAGAAAGGCTACTGGACTATTAAGACCTTGTACTTACTAGTCAAAGATTTTAAATCAGATATTATAAATATCTTTGAGAACTAAAGGAAACCATGTTTAAAAAATTAAATAAAAATATGAGACTATCTCAAATAGAAAATATCAATAAAATGGTAGAAATAATTTTAAAGTAAAGTAGAAATAATGCACTTAAAAATTAAATGATATAAAAATTTTACTAGAAGGACTCAAAAACGGATTTGAAATGGGAGAAGATGGAATCAATGGAGCTAAAGATAGATCAATTGAGATTATCAATTCTAAGGAACACAAAGAAATATGAATGAAAAAAGTTGAGCAGAGCCTCAGGGATATGTGGGACATCATCAAGCACACCAACATAGGCATAATAAAGTCCCAGAAGGATTGGAGTGAAAGAAAGAGGCAGAAAGAATATCTGAAGAAATCGTAGTATAAATTGTTTCCTATTTGATAAAAAACACTAATTTGCACATGCATGGAGATTAAGGAACTCAAAATAGAATCAACTAAAAGGGATCCACACCTAGACAAATCATAGTAAAATTGTCAATAGCCAAGGACAAAGAGAGAATTTTGAGAACAACTCATCACCTATAAGTGATCAATAAAATAACTTTCTATCTGAAACCATGGTGGCCAGAAATGGAATAACATTTTCAAAGTGTTGTAATAAAATCATTGCCAATAAAGAATTATATACCCAAATAAATTTTCCTGTGAAAATAAAGAGAAAATTAATTCCCAGACAAAAATTCTGAAAAATTAATCCCTAGCAGACCTGCCCTAAAAGAATTACTAAATGGGGCTTTCTAGGCTGAAATGAGAGATACCAAAGAGCAACTTGAATTCACATAAGACACAAGAATTACTGTTAAAATTAACTACATAAATAAATATAAAACATTATAAATATATTTTTATTAGTAACTCTTCTGTCTGATTTAAAAGGCAACTGCGAAAAGCAATAATTATAAAAAAGTGTTGATGGGCTTATAATGAATATACCAATAATTTAAACTGATTTTACATTTAAAAATTATTAATGAATTTATTTATGGATTAAATGTTAATGCAGAAATTAGATTTCCTCATCTTTACATGGGATATTTATAGAAAGAGACATATATATCACAATTAATAATAAACTATCAAATGTTTCCCATTAATATTAAATAACACAAGAATTGTGACTACCATATTACTGTTATCATTCAGTATTTTTCTGGATTTTCTAGTGCATTCAGTCAGACCAGTAAAAGAAAAATAAAGAGAGATATAATTATTACATAGGAAGCCACAAAGCTGCAATTATTTTCAAACAATGATTTAAAAATACATGTTTATTAGAAAATAATTTTAATGAAAACCCCCCAAAAGTTAGTGCTAATAGCTTAGGTAGGTGAATTGACAAGACATTATCTAAATATACAAAACCCAATAGTTTTCATGTACACAAGTCATTACCAACCAGGTAATACTGAAAAACAAATATGTAACTCACAATAGTACCAAGTGCATAAAATATCTATGAATAAATAGGAGCCCAGAATGAAATATTTGCATCCTATATAGTAGATTAAGTATTAATAAACATCCAGTAGAAATCAGCATATCAGGAAAATATTACTTGTAAGTCAATAAGATAAAAGACACAATACAGTAGCAAAAAAGCAGAAATATGCAGGCAAAATTTCTTAGGTTAAATAATTGATACTGAACAATAAACCACTTTAAAAGTTATAAAAGATTATCAAGCTTGTAAATAAACCAGATCCCATTCCGGGTATAGTTATGCAGTTCAATATGGTAAACACTAGTCACATGTGGCTTTTTAAATCTAAATTAAATAAAATTAAAAATTTAATGTCTTAATTGTACCACCCAAATTTCAAGTGCTCAGTAGTCATATATAGCTAGTGGCTACTATATTAGACATCATAGATACAGAATATTTACATCAATGCAGACAATTCTACTGAGCAGAACTGGTCTACGAGGTTTAAATTAGTTATGTGGGAAATGGGCCCTGGTTCACTATTGGTGGGAGCGTAAATGTGTCCAGCTTTTATAGAGAGAAATGTGGCAATATATGAAAAAGTTAAAAATGGATTAAGAACATTATTTCTTAGTGAGCTATCATCATTTTTGTACATATGTACAGAAAGATAATAAAAGGACACTCATAACATTATTTTATCATGCACAGCAAATAATTGGAAATATTCTAAATAACATTGACAAATATAGTTAGCTAATTTACATAACCTATTAAGTGAAAAAGCAAGTAACAAAACAATATAAATAGTATATTATGTGTGTATGTATGTGTGTGCATTTGTGATATGGTGAGACTTTGTGTCCCCACCCAAATCTCACCTTGAATTATAATCCCCATAATTATCATAATCCCCACATGGCAAGGTGGAGGTAATTGAATCATGGGGGCAGTTTCCCCCATGTTGTTCTCATGATAGTGGGTGAGTTCTCATGAGGTCTGATGGTTTTATAAGGGGCTCTTCCTCCTTTGCTCTGCACTTCTTCTTCCTTCTACCTTGTGAGGAAGGTCCTTGCTTTCTCTTCACCTTTCCCCATGATTGTAAGTTTCCTGAGGCCTCCCAGCCATGCTGAACTGTGAGTCAATTAAACCTCTTTCCTTTATATATTACCCCATCTTGGGCAGTTCTTTATAGCAATACAAAAATGGACTAATGCAATTTGTAAAATCTGTGTGTATTTTTTGTAACTGGAAGAAATAGGCTTTCAAGGATGCTCGATAAACTTTTACAATAATATTATATAATAGTTAACCTTAGAGAGAGTTGAAATTTAAAAGATACTATCATGTTTTGCTCTTCTGCAGTGTTAGAGTTTTATTCTTTTCATAATTAAAAAAAAAGTTTAAAGAAACCGTAGTAGTAGAAGCAGCGCCCTAAGTATTTTTCCCACCATTTTAGAGATTTCATCCATTTCAGAGAAACAGTTAACATTGTCACAAACACTAAGAAAATTATTAGTGTCATACACCCACTTTCCTCAAATAATGGCTGCAATTCAGATATGGAATTCTGAATAATAAAAAATTATACATACTTAAGAAAGAAACATAAAAAATACTTTTCTATTTTCTAATGTATTACTAAGTTCAGTGAATTCAAATAGAATCCAAACTGTGGCTTGATTGTATCTATACTGAAACAACATCAATTTTTCATCTTTAACTGTGTGTGTGCTATTAACTTTAAGCCTGATTCATCTCTTGAGGGCTGAGGTGACATACTCATGTAGAGCTATCCTAGAATACAGCCAAGAGCATGGAAAACAAATCTAATTGTTTTTGTAAAAGTGAGAAATATACATATATTATTTTAGCTGGAACTTTCAGTCAACTGGTAGAAAAATTCAAATTTCATTCTAATATCAGAACTTACAGTTAAAGCACTAAAACATATTTATCAGATTCTCCTTTAGTATACACAGATGATTTCTTGTGGGTATGAACATTTTATATCCTATATGTCCCTATCACTTTGCATGTCAATTTTAATAACTTTAACATGTTTTTGATAAAAGTCACACCTAACATTTATGAATAATTTAATTTTACTATATAAATAACCATTTCTATATTTTCTCATTTAAATTTCATTAGTACACTTTCTGGGAAAATGCTGTCTTTGTGCTGTTAATATCATTATGCTGATTAAGAAATACATTGGACAAAACAGTAAAGTAGTAAGATGTATTTCTAAGATGTCTTCTCTTAAACCTTTTTAATATTTCTCTCCCTATTTTATCTACTGTCTTCCTCCCACCATAACTGAAGCGTTCTGTGTTGTTTCCCACTGCAGTGGCCTATGAAGACCAGTTCTTTCTCATCATGGCTTAATGTTTCCTTCTACAGAATTTAGTTATCCCATCTCTTATCATCTCAGAATGTTGGTTTCAGCTAGTTTTCTGTTTGGAGGCAATATAAAATAGTGGTAACAAAAAGCTTTCTTTTGAAGTGTTTACATCCAAATGTACTTATGCAACCAATAGGAATAAAAACATAATGGCAAAGTTACAGAAAAAAAAGCCAATCAAAGAGGTAGAGCATTTTGAGATGGGGATGTCTGGGGTCCTTTAAGACATTACCCAAAAGCCTCGTTAGCCCTGTATAATGTTTCATACTGGATATTCCAATTAGTATGTCTGCAATGTGTTTTATTTATAAATGTTGAATTTTTCCCATTATGTTTCAAAAAAGATGTGATGGATATATTATTAGCTACAACATTATTCTTTTCTATAGACAGTAAGACCTGATTCATACAACCTCTCAAAGGCATTTCTGTCAAAGAGCAGCAAGAGAAAACTGACAGCAGAAATCCTAAATTCTAGTTCCTTATTCAAGCTTGTTCCCAATTTCTTTTTCTTTTCTTTTCTTCTTCTTGTTTTTTTTTTTTTTTTTTTTTTTTTTTTTTTTTTTTGGACAAAGTCTCGCTCTTGTTCTCAGGCTGGAGTGCAATGGCATGATCTTGGCTCACCGCAACCTCTGCCTCCCGGGTTCAAGAGTTTCTCCTGCCTCAGCATCCCAAGTAGCTGGGATTACAGGTGCCTGCCACCGTGCCTAGCTAATTTTTGTATTTTTAGTAGAGACGGGGTTTCACCATGTTGGCCAGGCTGGTCTCGAACTCCCAACCTCAGGTGATCCGCCCACCTTGGCCTCCCAAAGTGCTGGGATTACAGGCATGAGCCACCATGCCCAGCCACCCAATATCAAGGTTATTTATCAACAGATACTTTCTTAAATTATTACATGAAAGGATTTTGTGAAAATCTATATTAGTATAAAGAACTACAAATATTGCCCAGAAAAAAATAGTCATCTTTGTAAAAGGCTGTAGATACAAAATGCAAGCAACTCCGGAGCTAAAAGAGAAAAGGCTACTTAGATGCCAAGGGTCTCTCCTCAAAAATATATTTAAATTTGTGTTATAAAAGCAACATGTAACTGGGACATCATATGTTTTTTTGCAGCTCTGCTGGTGACTATGTGTTGCCTAAATCACCTAATATCTTTGGGCTTCCTTACATCATTTGTGAAGTGATGGAGCTTGAATAATAGAATTTCTAAAGATTCTCTCAGCTGAACCATTGTTTGAGTGGAGATTCCTCTCCCTCTCAGTCTAGATTTAAAAAAATTAAACTGTTTGAGCTAATTGTAGATTCACACACAGTTGTACAAAGTAAGACAGAGAGATCCCATGTACCAGCTACCCAGTTTCCTCTAGTGGTAACACGTATATAGTGCACAAGTATAGTATAATATTACAACCAGAATACTAGCATTGATTCAGTTAAGATAAAAAACAGCTCACTATTTAATTTCTTAGTATTATTCAGGAAAAGGTAGTATAATTTTTGACAGCTTACTGTATGGAGTGTTTTACATGCTTTATGTCATTTAGTTCTAATTATACACCACTTTAAAGACAAGGCTCAGCTAAAAGCAGAAGAATCAGGTTCAAGTTCTGCTTGACTTCACAGCACTTATTCTTACTATTTAGCATGCTGCCCCTGAAACAGATCTCAAAGATCTTTATCATTGCTTCACATAGCATTACATTGTGCCACATATATCACTAGAAATATATGTACATTATATGCCTTTGTTTTCCTCAGGAAAACTTTGTTTACAATCTTTTACAGAGGCACAGGCCTGGGAAGATTTAAAACATATCCAGGTCTAGGTCACCCCGCCCCTCGGTCATTTGGCCAGGATTAAATTTGCAGCATCTATCTTCCAGGCTCCCTTCTTTCTTTTCTGCCTTTTACACGATAGCCTCATTTTCTGAATAATAAATGATGGCAGAACACAGCACAGAAAGAAGAGACACTTTGAAAGGAGTCATTTATATGTTCCAAGGGAGGAAAAGTAATTTTACAATCAAATCTGCTCAGATGAGTTCCTTATTTCTATAAAATAAACAAAATCACACTTACTTTTCTATGAAGACATAAATGCAAAATTGAAAACCATGCTGATTAGACAGTCTTCTACCATCCCCTACCAATCTAGTAGAGTGCAAATACCAAAGTCTTTCTGAGCCTGTAGGGACTCTTAAACCACTGTAACTTGAGTCCCTTAGAAGTAACACTGGAGTAACAATTAATTTACACAATAAATATGTATTGAGGGCCTACCAAATGTCAAAGTTAAAAAACTGAGTACATATGGGGAACCAGAAAGATACAGCTCTTCCGTGATATATATAGAATATAAATATATATTTATTTCATAATGAATAATTTTATACAAATATAAATTATTATACAAATTAGATTTGTATAATTATATAATTATATAAGTAGACATATATTTACATGTTATATACATTATGGAGGGGATTCATGAGGCATTATAATAACATATAAAAGGGCAACTTAATAGAATATGAGAGTTCAGAGAAAATTTCTTTGAGAATGAACATCAAACTTGGAAACTGAAGAATGGGAATAACTTCTGCATTTGGACAGAAGCCTGTGGCCTGGGGACTGGTATCTTTTGTGTGGCTAAGTGCTTGCTCATTCACTTACTTGGAAATTATTCCTGGCTGTGCACTGTGTCCTTCTCTGGGGCTGTCAGCTGGAACATGTACACATGGCATGGCCTCTCCATGTGGCCTGGGCTTCCTCACAACATGGTGGCTGGGTGTCAAAGATGAGGAGAGAGAGAGAATGTGAGCCAGGTGGAAGCAGTATCACCTATTATGCTGCAGTGCCCTAGACTAGAAAGCCACTTGGCATCACTCATATTTCATTTTTTTTTAATGTAGTCACAAAGGCTAGCCCAATTTTATGGGGAGGAGAAATAGACTTTACACCTTAATGAGGAGTGGTAATACTGTGAAAGAGCATTAAAACAGCAAAGATTGTATTTTTAGAAATTTTGGGGAAATGTAATCTACCTCAAATAACTATCATAGTTCAAACCTATAAAACAGAGTACAGTTTAGCTGCCACCTTTTAGCCAAGTGAGGAAAAGCTGCAAGTCCATTTTGTAGAGCCACAAATGCAAAACCTAAATTTTAATTCTAGATTTTATGCTCAATAAAAATGCAATTTTCTCACATATATATTTTATATATTCATTTCCACTTGTTCAACTATGTGTCAAATATCAACTATATTTCAATTTCAATCTCTCAGAATTAAGTGAATAAAAGGCAGATTTATAAATAGATTTTATCAAGCATTAACTGTTTTCCACTTTCTGCCACTTTGACCAAAAAATCATTTGCTTTCTAAATGAATTTACTCCATTCACTTTAACCAATGCCCCCTTCCTTTTCTTTTGGTTATCTCTGTCTGCCACTTTACTTATTACTGTCTGAGAAAACATAATATTATGACTGCAACAAATGTATTCAACTGTCCTAATGGAAAGAATCCCAAGGGAAGATGGATAGGAATAAGCAAAGTGAAAAGAGAAACACCAATGTGGCTAGTGGTTGCGTGCAGGGCCTCTGATTTCAACCACCTGAGTTTGAAATCAAGCTCCAAAATTTGCCATTTGTGAGACTCGAGTTACTTAACCTTTTTTTAACTTTGGTTTCCTTTCTGTGACAAAAACGGTTATTATAACAGAGCCAAGCAAATTGAGTTATTTAAGTATAAAACTAAATAAAGCTTATAAACCATGCCCGGTGTTAGGCACATTTAAGCCCTCGGGAAAAGTTAGCTATTGTAGCAAAATTATTTATATTAATAGGAAAGAATGGTACCTAGTTTACCTATCCAATGAAGGTAAGCACATAGGGAAATGGATATGGGATTATTATCATATGATGTTTCCTCAGACATTCAGCCTTTCAGTACAGTAGGCTTCAGATAGCCCTGGGATAATAAATTAGTATCATCAGGGATACAGCATGAAGGCCAGTGACATTGGCCTCTCCTGTGTACCTAGACCTCTCATAGTTTCTCCCCACAAATCTGATTGGGTTAGCTTCATTATCATCTACAGTGGTCTCTGCATTTCCACCTAGACAGTTACTTTAGCAGTGTCCAGTAGATTGAGGTTTGTTTGCTTTTATCACACTAGCCCAAAAACAGAATTATTTGTGCTTCAAAGGAGACTATAGGCCTAGCAGGCTCCTAGAATTTTGTAAATTCTCTCTGAAAATAGGCATGTTTGTTTGAATTGAATATACAGCTGGGTTCCTGTAGATCTCAGAGGAGATGGGGAATCTCTTCCTCCACTGCCTTTGCCATCACTGTCAGCCATCAAACGTTTGAAAATCACCCCACTATGCTGTAGCTGCTATTGCTTGGCCTCCCGCCCTGATGACAGTTAAAACCTGCATTACTCATCGCTGACTATCTTGCGCTTCTCTTTGGCACCCAACATCAACCTGCTTCACCTCCTTATTTTTTCAACCATCATTCAAGTGTAGACTCTTTTGGGATAAGAGTTGTTTTGTCTTATTCTCCTATCAATAATGCTTTTTCCTTCTGTTCCTTGATCCCGTCTCTCTTCTGATCCTTCTAAACTCCTTCTCTAAGTCCACCATTCCATGATTAATGAGCTCTAGAGATGACTAAACTCTTTGCAAAGTACTTTGCACATCTTGGATTTAAATAAAATTTCATTCTCCCTGAAAGACCTTGATTAACATTTTCTTCTTTCAAGCAAGGCTATGTATTCTCCCATTTCTTACCTCTTAGCATTGACAGGCAGGATTTGAACACTCTGTGCTCTTCATCATCATTTTCAGACCCTTATTCATCAGCCTTCTCATAAAACTGTCATGCATCTTCACGGCTGATGCCAACAAGCTGTATTCTCTTCATCTCTATTATGGCTAAGGAGCAATCCAGGAGATGTTCTACAAATGGTGTTTAATTCTCTACTGCAGATGACATGGTCATGTTCCAGAATCCTTAGGATTTATGCTGTGAAACTCCTACTAGGGTTTGTGCGAAATTCCACACAACATGTGTTTTTCCACCACAAATTATGTATAACAATTTTAAGTTTGAAACTGTGAAGGATCTGAGACATTACTTCTGGATGAAAGAACACATCATTTATTTGCAGATCATCTCAGCAGTGCCCCAGTTCTCCTTTGGGCAACACAATGAGGGCCAGATATCACCTGCGCATATAGAGGTTTTGCTACAGAAGAGGAATCCAAAAATTATGAGAATCAGAGCTTAAGTAGGGCATCTGGTGCATCTATTCCTCCTCCTCCCTAGAGAAGGATTTTTGCTTTGCAATGTAGACAAATCTTCTCCAGGGAGAGGAAGAGGAAATCTCTAGCTTTTCTTTACCATTTTGAAATATAAGCAAATGGCTCCAGGGAGGATTTATCTTTCAGGTTGCTATTCAATCATCCTTTACTCAGAAATCCTGGATCATGCAGAAATGAAAAATATTAGTTGTTTCACAACACTGTGGTCTAGATGGTACAGTTGTTCTCATAGCAGCCTGAATCTGCTGCAAGGTACTTTTCTACTCTGAATCCTATTCAAATTTGGCTGTATTCCATGCCATCTGCTGAAGGTTAGAGTACTATTCCCAGTGGTGGACTATTCTGTCTCTTGGACCCCAAGATGCTCTGTACTTAGTGGTGGGATGTGTGAGATGCAATAATTTGTCATTTATTTTCAAGGGGATGTCCAAATATTGCCCAGACCTTTGGGACTCTCAAATTTTCCAATGCAGTTGGTCCTGATTCTTCATGGGGTTTATCTCCCATCTCCTGGAAGTCATGTGTTTAACCAAAATCATATTTTATTAACATATTTGCCACTTCTTGCTCATCTAGTCCTATTACATGGTGTTGTCTATATAGTGGATTAATATGATATTCTGTAAATGTTTAGACAGTATAGATCTTTTCAGACTATGTTAGGACTGACGACAGAAGAGTTCACACAGGCTTATGGGAAGACCATAAAAGTACATTGCTGTCTGTTTCAAATGAATTTAAACTTATTCTGGTCCTTCTTCTTATCAGGAATGGAAATAAAGACATTTGCCCAAGTAATGGCCATACAGCACTCCATGTATTTGAGCCCATGTTAATTATTCCACATCCAGTACAGCAAACAGAATTTATCTGGTTGACTAGTGAACTAATTTGGGATATAATGCAGACCATCGCCTTTGTATTTCTTAAGCCTTTAAAGGTGGCACTGATCTCTGCCATTGTCTTCAAGATACAATATTGTTTTTTTATTTACTAACTCAGCCAGCGGGAAAGGAGTTGGTGAGTTTCAGAGGTTTCCATGTAGCCTTCCTCACTACAATGTATTCTCCCAATCAGGACAGAAACACTTGTGAGAGTTCTAATATCAATCCAGTATGTCTACACCAATTACATAGTCAGGGCCAAGATCAGAGAAATGGCCACTGGTTGGTTCTGGGGACCTTGTGGACTCACTGTGTGACAACCCATGACAGTATTGCATGTATTATATACTCTACATTTGTGAGCATTTTAGATTTAGTCTAAGCCAACTTAGTGTCTAACACTAATATTTTGTATTCCTCTTTTGTGTATGGTTCCTTGTATGAATAACTATAAGCCCCTTTGTAGAAAGACTGTGGGAATCACTTTCCTACATATTTGTCCATTTGCCTGTTCAGGCAGGGTTCTTCCTCCTGAGAACCCAGTTTGCCCTTCAGCTCATATGTTTCAGATCTGAAAATTGTCTCAGATATGGAAACAGACAACCATTTGAAGCATTTCATTAGTCCTGGTGCCCTCGGCCTTTACTTCTGATTTATTTTGGTTATATGAACTGAGCAGTTTCATTTTAGGTTACAATCTATCTGCCCTTAGGAAGCTATGTTTTATTAACCATTTCCATGGTGTCCTGTGGTTCAGGACCCCAGATTGTCATGCCAGTCTTGCTGCTCAAACTCATTGCTTTATTTATTTATTTATTTATTATTCTTGAGACGGAGTCTCGCTCTGTCACCCAGGCTGGAGTGCAGTGGCACGATCTCAGCTCACTGCGACCTCCGCCTCCCAGGTTCAAGCAGTTCTCTGCCTCAGCCTCCTGAGTAGCTGGGATTACAGACATCCGCCACCATGCCTGGCTAATTTTTGTATTTTTAGTAGAGATGAAGTTTCACCATCTTGGCCAGGCTGGTCTTGAACTCCTGATCTTGTGATCCGCCCGCCTCAG
Source organism: Homo sapiens (assembly GCF_000001405.40). Taxonomy (NCBI): domain Eukaryota; kingdom Metazoa; phylum Chordata; class Mammalia; order Primates; family Hominidae; genus Homo; species Homo sapiens. The sequence goes on from NC_000004.12 coordinate 89,706,876, forward strand.
CCTCCCAAAGTGCTGGGATTACAGGCGTGAGCCACCATGGCTGGCTGCTCATTGCATTATTTGTAACCTCCTTGCTTCGACAATAAAATGCCACCACCTCATATCTATATTTTGGAATTCTGTCATTCCAAATCATATTATTGGCCCAGTTGTGTAACAGTTGAGTCCAGCTGTGTAACAGTTGAGTCCAGCTGTGTAACAGAATCTCCTGCTGTTTTTCTTTACCAACAGAGGAACAGTCACTACTGAGTTTCTCAATGATATTGGTGCCTCTCTCACCAGAGCATAATTTAGCACTTTGGTAAAAGAAGTGTCCTTCAACTCCACCCGTGGAACGTGTTCAGATGGCAGATTTTCTAAGCTTACATTAATATTCACTGTAGCATGCCTTTTTCCATTATCTGCCATTGCACTTGCTCCATTTATATTTCAGTTACTATGGGCCACTGCTGTCCCCCAAAACCTCGAAGTGAAATCCAACCAGCATATTAGCACAATATCTTGGTGTGCTTGCCAGGTAATTAGACCTGGTATTGTGGGAGAATACTACTATGTCAATAAACTCCTCATTATTCAGACTTTTGTTCCACCCATCCTCCAGTCTCTTAATCCAGCAACTGCAGGATCTAGTCCTATACATCATTTTCTGGTTGCTACTGGTATATGTTGCCTGGATCATGGAGCTTCTTTGGGATATAGTTCATTTATTCCATTTCCTCCTTTCTGTCTCAGTACTTCACTAGCCAGTTAATGTTGTGGTTTGATGCTACGTATTGGTCTGGTGGTTAGGAAAGGAGGTGTGGCTAGGTTCTTAGGTGGGGTTGCAAGCTAGAGACTGCTGCATTGTCTTCAAACAGGAGGAAAGTGATAGTATTTAGCTGGAAGGAGTTGGACGTTCCTGTAAACCCAGAGAATTCGAGAGGATCTGGGGCTTCAATATTGTCTACCCACATGGCACCGTCGCACTTCTCAGAGTCTCACCCCTTTTCAACAAGAGCCTTGGCTTGATGCAGTTGAGACTTTAGCCTTCTCTGGTGCTCTGCTACTGGCCCTGATCCTCTGTTTTTTTCTGTCTGTCTATAGCTGTAAAAGATAACAGTTACTTTATATGCTGCCAACGAGGACCTCTGACTTTCACATTTTGCTTTTGAGGTGTGATTAATTACCCTCAACCTTTTGGTGTCTTCCTCCAATGCATCAGTTATGCTCAGCAAGAGCCATCTGATTCCATTGTCTTTATAATTAGTACTTGCACTGAACCTCTCAAAAGCCTGATGTGTTGTACTAGCCTGTGCAGTTCCATTTTCTGGTGTTTTGTTCCATTTCAAATAAGAAAGCTAATAACCATCAGTAGCATCAAACTTCATTCTATCTTCTTGTTTGATACATTTCTTCTCCACCAGGCAATATTCAAAATGAGTTGCAAGTACTTAGTTTAGTGTCTAACACAATGTAATTACTCTATTTATTGAAAATATAAATATTAGATTTCTTTTATGGCCTGTGTGATGACTTTCACTAAATACAATAATTGGTTGCTTGTAATATAGTGTAAATAGAATGAAGCTAATTTTAAGGGCTGACATTGGAATTGGGTTCTGTCCACTGGGATGAATTTGATTCACAATAAGAAATAGATCACAGGTAAGCTAACAGTTATTATTGATCTAAAACTGACTTGGTCAGGCTAATCTGATGTGTTGATGTGTTGGGGGTCTAATCTAGATGGCTCCAGGCTGCACCCCTTCTGTTCAAGCTTGTTGGAAGTAGACACTAACGTTCTTTGCAGAAACCTCTCCACATATTATAAAAAAAGCTACAGTAAGAGCTCTAGGTTAATTTTAAATCAACTGTATAAACATTACTAGCATCAACAATATTCATCACATGGCAAAGTTATCATGTTTGTATACACACACAGGCATATATTTTCCAATAAAATTGAATTGATTATGACTCAGAAGGGATACCAGTGAAATTCCAGTAATGCTGCTTCAACCAGTGGAACATAATGGATTCAGTTTTCACAGCCTCCCTTATCTCTACTCACAGAAACCTCTGCCTTTCATTCCCAGTGCAATTCCTTTCAAGGCAGCGTGGCATGCTATCACAGAGGGAATGTTATTCTAACTTGTTTACATCCTTGAGGGTGAGGGTCAAGGGCTCAAAGTATGTTTTCCTTCTCCCAAAGAAAGGAAGGATGAGGAAAATGGAGTTTTGTGGAGCTCCCTGGTGTTTCCACACATGCCATGTGGCAGTATAAAAAACAGCAAGGTTTTCATCTCTCAGACGTCCATGCTTACTTCCTGTCTTACATGCACTGCTGGTGTCTGGCCCAGAATCTAACAGCTCCTCTGAATGTACAAAGGATTCTGTTGTATTTTCTGTCATCTCTGTTCTTGCTTGAGCCCCACTTATGTTACCACAGCTCAGCAGTCAGCTGCTCCCACAATGACAGCCTGTCTCTTCATCTTGCAATTTCCTGTTCTCCATTTTCCACTACCAAGATGCAACAAAGGGAATTCCTTAAAGGAGTTATGTGCTTGCTTATTTTCAGAGGCGGGAGGGGACAAATTTAGCTATTTTTGACCACAGAGGTCTCTCACAAGAGCCACTGAAGTCAGATCTTTCCTCAGTTAACAGTAATCCTAAAGAGTCACCCCCCAATTTCTACTGATCACCTCATTATGCCACTATAGGGTGGGCAGAAGAGTAACTATGGCTTTTGTTATTTAAAAATCAAAAACATTAAGTAGTAATTTGAAGGACTCAGTGTCTTCTTTGCTCCCTTGTGTGCCACTTGTATTGTCACTGAATTTCTTGGTAAGTTCTAAATATTAAAAGCAAATACGGCTGACACATGATTACCAACTTGCCTGGAAAGCAAGTCAAATAACTTCTTTATTAACTTCATCACGTGCAGTTAGTAACAGAGTAAAATCCTTTAATCTGAGAGCAGTAAAAAAACTCTAATACCAGTCGGGCACAGTGGCTCACGTCTGTAATCCCAGCACTTTAGGAGGCCAAAGTAGGTGGATCGCTTGAGGTAAGGCATTCAAGACCAGCCTGGCCAACATGGTGAAACCCCGTCTCTACTAAAAATATAAAAATTAGCTGCGCATGGTGGCAGGCACCTGTAATCCCAGTCACTTGGGAGGCTGAGATAGGAGAATTGCTTGAACCCAGGAAGCAGAGGTTGCAGTGAGCCAAGGCCGTGCCATTGCACTCCAACCTGGGCAACAAGAGCGAAGCTCCACCTCAAACAAACAAACAAACAAACAAACAGCCTCTCTTAATACTTACTAATGTGCAGAAGGAAACCCCAGCTTATTTCTAAAAAGGCATCGAACCCATATATTTCTAATAAATGCATCAGTATGTAGAAAGGTTATTTTCTTCTTTTATTCATACAACTAAGTTGTACACTTCCTATAAAATTCAGTCAAGCTGAATGATTACATTTACATTCCAGATTTTGCAAATGCATGGAGTGAAAAAAAATTAAGCCAATTGAGTTGAGATTTTTTAAAAATCAAAGTGCATCCTCATAAAAATAAAATTGAATACATTTTGTAATACTCCTCTCTGTGTACTTCCAAGGAAGACTGAATATGCCCTTTAGGTTTATTGCCCAGTAGGAGGATAACCGGCTTGTAACTGGCAAACAAATATGAAATCTGAAAGATGCAGCCATCAACTCTGATAGTCATTAAAACTGATCTAAAACTGACTTATTCAAGCCAATCTGATGTGTTGGGGGTCTAATCTAGATGGCTCCAGGCTGCACCTCTTCTGTTCAAGCTTGTTGGAAGTAGACACTAACATTCTTGGCAGAAGCCTCTCCACATATTATAAAATAATCTCCATTAAGAGCGCTAGGTTAATTTTAAATCAACTGTGTAAACATTACTAGCATCAACCATATTAATTACATGGCAAAGTTATCATGTTTACATACACGCACATGCATATATTTTCTAATAAAATTGAATTGAGCATGACTCATAATGGATACCAATGAAATGAAATCTGAAAGATGCAGTCATCAACTTTGATAGTCATTGAAATTTAATTTGATAAATGATCATACTCATTTGAGTTGTAGAATAACTCTTGGATTAGTGTCTAGTTGTCAAGAGTTCTACTTTTCTGGAAACTGTCCCTGTTACAGTGAGGTGGGTCTCTACCAGCCATGGCACTGCTATATGACCTGCTTCACCTGCTGCAGTTGATTGGGTTGATATGGATGGCTTATTTAAGCTGTGGCAATCAGAAGATCCTAGGAATTTAGAAAGTTGAACTGAGAAACCAGAGGCTGGGAGCTTCTGGTAGCTCAGTTTTATTGCAAATGCTAGTGGCCCTGAGGCCTATGAATTCCCACACCTGGAACCTGCTCTGATACCAGCCTATCTGGGACTGGGTCTTTCAGCTTTAGCCTAGCTTTTGTGAGATGTGACAACATCTTCCTAAAAAATATGTTTATTTGTTTAATCTAGCTCCAGTTGGTGTCTGTTATCACCTTAAGTCTACTTTTGTCAGCTAATACCTTATGTATACCTTAAGCATATAAATATATTTTCACATTATAAACATTAATATCTTTTTACATTTCTCCTGCCTACCAACAAGTGAACAAATATTTTTCTCTGAAAATTTGCAGTCAGACTAAATGTTTGCATTAACCATAATGACACAAAATTTCAAGTATCCATTCAAAATTTCAAATATCCATTCCAAAAATGTCTTATTTAATATTACAGTTTACCAAAATAATATTGCTGAGAGAATATGCCCTTAATCTAAATATACAGAAGGTATTCTGTCAAACTATAGTGAACTTAATTTTAAATACATTCAAGTACTATATTTTAGACAACTATATTCTTAGAAAGCTCATTTCCACTGCTCGGTGTACCACATTAATTTTTGATAATTCGGTGCTCTAGCAGTGTAGAAAGATGATTGCTAAAGAACAAAATATTGTAAATATCAGCTCAGCACTTTAAATATTATTGCATGTCTAAAACAGAGCTTTTTTTTAACAATATAGGTTCCCCAAAATGTTCATAATGTTTTCTTAAATGTACAGTCTCTTGCCCTTTTACAACTGAGGAGTAATATCAGCTTCCATAGCAACACTTAGGCCATATCAAAATAGCATTTTACAAATGAAGAATCAAGTTAGTGATGCCATATCTCATTTACTACGTTGAAAGCCACATATTGAAAAATTTATCTTTTTCTATGATAAAGTAGCAGGTATTTTTGTCCTTTGCTCCCTTGAGAGATTGTCAGTTTCCTTGGATCTTGGAAGAAACACATAATATTCAGTCTCATGCTTATCATGAATACTCCATAAAGTTGAATGAAAACATACCTCTCTGGGAGGCTAATGAAGAACAGATGTAGGCAAAAACAAGTTGGTGACGTTAGGAGAGAACTCAGAAGCTAAAATAATATTAGTGGGAGTAGAGAGAATGAAAGAAAAATACCAGTTGTCAGCTTAAATGGAATTGGTGGATATAACTGAACAGCTGATAAAATAAAGAGGAAGGAAAAGGACGACCTGCAATCTCATTTTCTCTCTTTAGGTTACAGCTGTGATTTTAGTTGAAATAAAATGTGTTTCCTATTCATTTATAAAGAACATCAGACCTACAGGTTTTTAAAATCACGCTGGAAGCAGTTACAAAGAATGTTTAGGTCTTAGGCAATATGACAATGAAAATTCACTATTACTCAAGTTTAACTAACAGCAGCGTGTTTGATTCTCTGCTAATCATTTCTTTCTTTTTGGTTTTGGTTGTTTTAACATAGGTTAACAGTGGATTAAACTTCAAATTCTGGTAATCCTGAAGCTAAAATACAGCTCTCGGCTATACTTGTCACATTATACACAATTTTATCAATGACTGTAATTCCTAGAATTTGCAGTTGAAACATTATCTTTTATCCTTTCCACCCCATTTTTGCTGTTCTTAGTTCTATTTTTTATGTGTACTAGATAACTAGCTAGGGATGAAATAATAAGGATCTTTGGGACAACAAAGCTAGACAAAGTATTCTTTAAAGGTAATTTGCCCAAGCGATTAAGAATATGTGAAGAAGTATTTATCCATTTGGGACCTGCCAGTCAATTTACTTAGCGGTGTGATTATGGTTATTGCTCATTGGAGAACAGCATGGTTCCAAAGGCACAGTTGCTGTTTTACTCACTAAAAATTGGTTAGTTTGAATTTCATTATAAAATCCTTACTTGATTATCTATCACTCAATGTTTGGTCATAAAGTGCAGTCTTAAATCACCGTTTCTCCAAGCGGTTTCCTTGGACTATCACAGCCATACAACACTGTGAGCTAAGAAAACTTCCTTGGGTAGGCGAATTTGTGAAACTGCTTATTGTATCACACTCGTGGAGACAAACAATGCTCATTAAAATGTTAATAGCTCTGAAAAATCCTGCAGTATAGAAGTTTAATTTATTCATCAAATTTTTACGTATCTGTTTAACTCCCCAGGAACTGATATTTTATGCAATATATTTTGTGAAAATAAGGTTTTAGTCAGTTATTCTGAGATGCTTCTAGTAATTACACAATATTATTCTTCTTTATATAGCTTCTTAACCTATTCTGGGTTACATCCACTTTAGAAGTGGATGAAGAATATAGATGTTTTTAGTTAGAAAAAGCTATGTAGACATATGGACATTAAATTTTATATAAAATGCAAGAAGTTACATCTTATTTAAGGATACTTAAAATCCACCATTGGCTCTTTTTTCAGAAAACTTGAACCTTGTGGTTCGCTTACAAATTTAGCTTCCTTTTAGGGACTGTTACCATAAGGTATATTTAGCTGTTGACAACTTGAATTTTGCAAAGTTTTGCTACTGCCCTTTATTTAATGTGAATGTGCCTCTCACCTTTGTCATGGCCCTTTTGAATCAAACTGTAAGTGGAAAGTTATAGATATTATCAAAGAACCAAGAATGAGGAAGCCAAGATTGCTTTTCCCTGCTTGTTTGTATTCTAAAATAGAGTATTTAGAACACAAAATCTTAAATGCATTTCTTTAGTGGATAAAGTTCCAAGATATATTAGAATGTCCTTATTCTGTTTATATCACTGATATTTAAAAGTATAACATTGAGTCAGTTGAACAGTCTGTAAAACATTTCTTAGTGCTCTGTTGTAGCCAAAAGAAATGCAGATTATATTTAGTTTGTGTACAGTCTATTTCAAACATATGTATAAGAATGTAGTACTTTTAGCTTTTCTATTACTTTCCTTTTTCTTCCATGTAAGTTAGGATGGTGTAAATACATAAATAGATGTTGCTTTGCAATTTGATTTCAATCTCTGTGTGTATGTCCTAACCGAATCAAAAGGCTTTTTGGAAACTATCAAATTCTCTCCAAGATAAAGTACAGAAAGATATTTATGCATTGGTAATAAAGATTGAAACTTTATTTCAAACACTTTTCATTTGGTTTCTTTTGCACTAAGATCTTATTGCTCAAAGTTTTTTTTGAAAATTTTTTCTTCTGTTTTTTTTTTTTTTTTTTTGAGACAGAGTCTCCCTCTGTCACCCAGGCTGGAGTACAGTGGCGTGATCTCAGCTCACTGCAATCTCTGCCTCCAGGGTTCAAGTGATTCTCCTGCCTCAATCTCCTGAGTAGCTGGGATTACAGGCACGTGCCACCATGCCCGGCTGGTTTTTGTATTTTTAGTAGAGACAGGGTTTCACCATGTTGGTCAGGCTGGTCTCGAATTTCTGAGCTCATGATCCACCCCCGCTTGGCCTCCCAAAGTGCTGGGATTACAGGAGTCAGCCACCGCGCCTGGACTCCTCTTTTTTTTATAATAGTCACCATAGTAATATAAGGAATTACTATATTAAAAGCCCAAACGTATATTTATTTGACCTGAATATTTTTAAAAAATATTAATATCACTTTAATTCTATTACATCTTGCTGTTAAGATTTTGACTTTTCTTACACCAGTGAAGATGAGAAAATGGAAATAAAGAAATACTAGGTATTATTAAGCGTTAATATAATTATAGTAGATCTCATTTAATCTTTAAAACAAAGTAGCGTGAATGTTTTAATTTCCAATTTATATCTAATTTTCAGAGGCTAATATATTTCCTAGGGTCACGTAGCTAGAATATTGTAGAGCTAAAACTTGAACCCAGAGATTCTGATTGAGAAAATAGCTATGATTTTATTTTTTAATAATTTTGAAATAACGGGCAGGGCAAGTATTTGGGGAGAGGTTGTCAAAATAAGTAAGAATTTGCCTTTAGAGAAGCATATTCCTGAGGTTAAAAGCACAATAACCTTCATAGGTGGGAATTGAACAATGAGAACACTTGGACACAGGGCGGGGAACATCACACACTGGGGCCTGTCATGGGGTGGGGGATGGGGGAGGGATAACATTAGGAGAAATACCGAACGTAAATGACGAGTTAATGGGTGCAGCACACCAACATGGCACATGTATACGTATGTAACGAACCTGCACGTTGTGCACATGTACTCTAGAACTTAAAGTATAATAAAAAAAGAAAATAATTAAAAATGAATATAAATTGAAAAAGCACAGTAACTTGAATTAGTCTGGACAGTAAACAGAGTTAGGTTTCTTCTTTTAACTTTGGTGTAGAAGTCTTTCCTCTGTTTTATTTATTTTGCTATCATCCATCTCCTAGGCTCTAGATCCATGGCATGTCTTATAGAAAGATACTAACATAGCTTTTAATGCATGTTATACACACACACACACACACACACACACACACACACTTTTATATCTTTTCTAAAGTAAATCCATTCCCTCACCTCAAATGTGAAAGACCGTAAGTTGCTGGCCTAGTTTGGAATCTTGTCTCTTGTATAGTTGCTGAGTTCACACCTGCTGCTTCTCCATCTGCTACAATTTTAGATCAGTAAGACCTTCTTGAAATATGTGGAAAATGTCAAACATACTCCCAAAAAAGTGCTGTCTTCTTTTAAGCTGATGGTGTCCTGAGATGACTGAGGATTTTTGTTGTTGCTGTTGTTGTTGTTGTTGTTTCCCAATGATTAGAACTCACCTCTTTTTTTTTTTCCCTCCAGTGACCTATAGTCTCTTTATTTAAGGGATCAAGACAACTTGGCCATGGTTTAAAGAACAGAGAAATAACATTTCAAGAGTAAATGTCATTGCACTTGATGGCAGTCACTTGAAAGGTCATCTATTCTATACTTATAAGAAATTAATTGTACACCTGAATGATATTTTTTAGCCATTAAAAAATTTTAGTGAATGTACAAATGGGTTTCTTTTCATCTCAATCTTAATATATCTAGTATAACAAATTTTGTATTTAAGAATAACATCTAATAATGATGTTTGCACATTCATGCAGATATTTACTCTAAGCAAGATTCTACTAGCCATTGTAATGTGAGGGCTCAAAAACGTAATCAGTAAGGAACTTGATGAAATTATATTTGCATGGGTATACTGGTGGTTCTTAACTTAAATATTAAGTTCTTATTTTTTGTGCTAAATATTTAGACGTGGAATTTTGTGTTTGTTTTCTTATACATTTGTATATATATTTTATTGTACTTTTCTTAGATTACTTAAAAAGTACCTTGTTTCCCACAGCAATAAGAAAGGTGCAGGGGTAATACAGTGGCTCAAAGGAGCAGGAAGTAGTGAATCCTTAATTTGTTATATAGGAAAACTGCTCATATTTAAATGGGAGCATTATTATGCTTCAAGCGTATGTTGGGGTTTAGTGTTAACATGTTGTGTTCCTTCTATAGATATATTCTGGAATATATCTACAGATTTAGGATGCAATTCACCAATAATAGTTTTTGGAGCAGTAAAGAATTATTGGTTGAAGATTTGTTTTAATTCTATCCAAAATGACAAGGCACTATGTAATCTTGGGTGTTCGCTTACTTATAAAATAAAGGCATTAGACAGCTATAAAGCTATGTGGCTCTTTGATCTTCAGACAATCTGCAGCTTCGGGGTCACATTGCGGCAGGGCTTCTTTATCACTGGAAAGGGCTGATGGGGGACAAAAGGAGGAGATGAGTCTTCTGGGAGAGCTGTCAGCACTAATGGTTTGCTAGACCCTGACGTACGGAACTGCTTAGACTGATTTTTCTTCCTACATCTCTGTTAGATCCTAAATCTTGATCTGGTCTCACTCTAATTTTTTTTGTACCTTTTAACAATCTAGGCTGTTTTAAACTGTACTCTCTTTGCTGTCACTTGGGGAATCTCCCTATGGCAATCTCACTCTCAACTCCTGTCTGAACTGAACAGCATGAACACATCTACCAAGAAGAAAATTAATTAGGTAGCCACAGGCAACGTAAATACAGTCACGACTCCACCTAGAAACCTAAACTTTTTCAAATGTATGCTTTGAGGATTTTCAGAATGCACAGTGCCAATCAATTTACTTCCTGGAATTTGTATGTTTCAGTGCTTTGATTTTTCTGTGAAAGAAAACAAAACAGTGAACTGAAATGTGCGATGCAGTTTAGAGAATGCAAGGCCCAAGTATCTGGCAAAATAGCATTTTTCATATTTCTGCTTCACCTTGGCCTCAGATATGTATGGAAACATTTGGTTCTAAACAGAATTCTCAACAGCAACACCAACCTTTCTTAAAAATGTAAAATTTCTCAAAGTCTCAATAGCATGGTAAGAGCGTTGCTTATTCTTTTGCCAAATGCCTGTGAGTCAAGGCTGAAATTTTGGGCTAGTTGATATGGTGATAAGGTATTTTAAGTAGAGCTTATTGTTAATCTCTTCAGGATGCTAGTCTTTTGGCCTGTAGTCTAATTTTAGTCTTGCCAATTCACAGAAGGTTCCAGAATCTCACTGCTAAACCCCTGACTTGGGTAGGGGTGGTGCTGTTTGCTTTCAATCTTCCCTGACTCTGCCTGGGTGAATAGCACTTGTTTCCCTGTTCTCAGTGCTGCTTCTCCTGCATGTTTCTAGCTCCTTCTTGTTGGACCTTCAGCGTACTGTCATTTGTTGTATGGTCTCCCTGTTGTCTATATCTGGACTTCTTCCCAGCGTTTCCTTCTTCCCATAGATGAGTAAATTTCAAAAGGTCTTTTCTCCTAACATATCTTGTACTACAAGCACCTGAGTCTTCTATACATGAATATTGTGGGATGCCTTCACCGTTTGTACAGATCATTCCACTGGGCCTTTCTCCTAAGGAAAAGGAATGCTTTTAATTCTGTCACTGGGTAGGCAGACCCTCAAACTTTGGCTAGCTGCTTCTAGAAACACAGAAGAATGACAAACTGTACCTATCTATTCCGCCCATCCTGTGCAGGGCCTGCACTAAAAGGGAAAATGCCATAGCTTATTCAGTACTCCATCACGAGGATGTCCTGGGACTGCCACTATTTCTTCCTCGGAAGAGATACCAATTGTGAATATGTCTTTGACTGGAGGGAATTATGATTTGGAAGGCTGCCATTTGACTGTCATGTTTTTAAAAGAGTTGTTTGGTAATAAGCTGCTATTGAATATTAAATTGGAAAAATAAATGCAAAATAATAATAATAATCACAAACAATAACAATAGCCAAATGGGTTCTTTCTACAGACATTGAAAACTATGTGATCTTTGTGTTGCTCTTATAGATTTGGCTACTAAGAAACTTAGATCTAAGTGTAGGATATAACTACATTATTCTGTACCATATTCTCAGTAGTCTCATTTCCTCATTATATATGTAAGTGATTTCTCACTTACGAAAAATTTAGCTTTATTTCATAGTCCAGTGTAATTTTTTGTTTGCTTGGTGGTTTGTGTGTTTATTTTAAGCCAGGTCAGTTTTTTGTGGGTAAGTGGAATACAAATAAAAAATGCATTCGGAAGTCAGAAACATATAGATATCAAGTGTTAAAAATTAGCTATTAACATTTTCATATTGAACACATTCCATAATTATATATGAAGACTACAGGTCAGTCTTTCCTGCACTGCTGCTGGGTGTATATGGGAGCTGGATGGAATGATTTGTCAGAAAAGATACTGCTCAAAAAAAAGAAATTCAGTCAATTGCAGACTGTCAATATGAGTTCTCATCTATAAAAGGGGGCTGTAGTGTGGAAATCATTGTTATTCCAGAAAGAATTACTTCAAATGAACTGTTTCTGACATGTCCAGAAATAATTGGCATGAAAATCATGACTAAAACCTATACCTAACAGCCTGGAAGTAGGTCTGATCATCAAAAACCAACACAGTGTAGCATTTGAATGTCTATTCTCACCATGGGCAGTGAAAACACAGCCATGGAAACTCCATAATATTGATGTACAGAGCTGTTCTTAAACATAACTTTGGATTGTGTTGGACTCCTTCTTAGAATGGCACCAAGTAACCACCAGTATTCACCTCCAAACATTGCTGTGATAATCAGAGCTCAGAATCAGTTGTTAACAATACATAATTTACAGTTCCTTCAGAGATATGTCTTCTTTTGCTTTAGATGAGATCAAGAAAATTGTAGGAAAGGTCTTTTTCTCAGCTGTTACCCTTTTGCCCATCGATCTAAGACAAGTGGCCTAACCTAGCTAAAGGATGGCACAAACAGCTAAGGATGCCCAAGATGGATTTCCAAGGAAGTTTGCCAAAAAGACTTGCCAGATTTCTAATCATTCAACATGGACACTCCATCTTCAACAGCAGGAGTCAGTGCTGCCACATTACTAATGTTTGGCAGCCTCTCAAAACTTGCTTTGACCATTTCCATAGAGATTTGGATGACGCCTTACACAACACGTAGTACGTTCTAGAGGCTCATCTGTCCATATTTAGTCTTCATTTGTTTTTTTACAAGAGTTGATTTTGTTAGGAAACGTAGTATTCAACAATAATTTTCTGCTACTCTCAATTCCTAGGTAGTCGTACAGTGTCCAGAAGGCAAAAGGACAAGTATGCACTGCCCTACTTACCTACTTTCCACACTGCTGCACAGGAAAATCTGACAGAGGACAATAACAAACATCTCACCAGCTCATGCGTTCTTTTTTGATCCTAATTCCGAGAGACTCACCAAAGACATGAAGAGAAAACAAACAATACTTTTCTTGGAAATATTGTAATTGCTGGTACATTTGTTGTTCTGGCATAAAGTAGAAATTGTCAGGTAAACATTGCTTCCTTTTGGATCAAAAAGAAATTTAACCAAATAAATGCAAGAGGTATGAGGGAAGATAATGGGAAATAAATGAGATTTGAGAAATCAGTGGAGGTTCAAGTGGTTTTTTTTTTCTTTTGTAGTTGATAATACTCTGTTTTAAATCAGTGAGTTTTACTTATATATGCTTGTCCTTTTTTTTTTCTAGTTACCAGAACAATACTCAGTGAACTTATGAATATATGGTAAATATTAAACACATCCCACTTGGATGAGAAGATATGTGAGTCGATGAGTATAGCTAAGTCTAAAGTTAGATGTGTTCCATAAACATAGTGTTTATGGAGTTGGTGCATATTCACTTCTCAGTAAGTTACACTTTCTTAATTTCTTTTTGGTGCTAGGTGATATTCTGCTAAGTACACATAAGTATAGTAATATTGGTTAGTAAACTAGTAAAATGCTCCCCTAGCTATTAGTAAATAGCTTCTGCCTTGTGTCTCCAAAATATCTCTACCATTATCCTGATCTTGATTGCTATTTTATATTAAAAGAAGACATGTGAATGTATATGAACATTTAAAAAAATTGTTATTTCTTATTTACCTTTAAAAATACAGTGTGCTGTACTAGTACTACTACTAATAAATAGCATCATTGACTCATAGATCACTTACTATCAGCCAGGCAGTCCTAAGTATTCCACTTACATTAACTCACTTAATGCATGCAACAATGCTATGAGGCACTATTTTTATCATTTGCATATTTACATATAAGGAAACAGAGACACTAATATTAAGTAGTAAGAGACATAAATGGGAGTCGAAGTTCCATAGTCTATTAATAGTTTTGGAGTTCAGGATAGTCTCTATTACTCTAACCTACCTCATTAAGCAGCATCCTTGACTATTCTAGGTAAAGAGTATTGTATTCTTTTCTAAGATAAAAACATGACTTGCTACTATATTTGTTTGGATTCAGCTTTACTGGAACACAGCTTAGCTTTGACATTTACAGACATGGGTTAGGTTTCATTTTGTTGCAAGATAAAAGGCAATCTGATATTTAGTTTACCTGCAAAAGGCAGTTAGGAAGCCCTAGAGGAACCTAATTAAAATGCAGCACATTTCCAAGGCACCATATCTTGCTGTGTTGCCATAGAAACAACGAGGATTTCTGGTCACTGACCTTCCAGGGAATCTGAGGATGTATTTTCATAAGGTTCATAAGAGAAGCCATCCTAGTATGTTAACCTATAGTTGCAGATCAACTATACGTTATGGAAATTCCCTATGCAATTCTAGCCAATTTTAAAACCAAATTATACTAGCAAAACTTACTAGAGGCTCAAACTAAGGGCTCTTTGAAGGAATGTGGTTTAACTGCTTCCAATATAAGATTTCAAATAATTAAGGATACTGTAGTAGCAGCAAAAACATTAAAGAAAAGCTTAGGTAATTACACAAAGAACATTGGAACTAAAATCATATTTAGGAATAGTTTCAATGTTATATCTATTCTATTGCATTTTGGGTTCTTCAATTCTAGGCTTACTCAAAGGATAAAACGAACATTACTGCATCAATCAACTACACCTAGAAAATCAAACTTTATTATACAATATTAAGTTGCTAATATTATTTATACCTATAGATTCTTAATTCATGCCCTTTACTATCTATTTATAAATTCATTCATTCCATTACTAAATATGTATAATTGACAATCCCAGTTATACCTTAATTTATATTTTTTTGTCTATTTGACATAAGCCAAGTACCCATGCCATGATTCAACACAGAAAATTACAAAGCCCACCTTACTGTAGACTGCTGCTCTTATTGCATCAACATTCGTATCTTCCACGGAAAATAATTAACTTAGTTCTATAATCAGGATATGCCCGGTTTATTTACAAGGAAATACCTATCAGGTGCTAATTTCTCTTAGAATTAGAAATCTTGGCCAGGCATGGTGGCTCACACCTGTAATCCCAGCACTTTGGGAGGCCGAGGTAGGTGGATTACCTGAGGTCAGGAGTTTGAGACCAGCCTGGCCAACGTGGTGAACCCTGTCTCTACTAAAAATACAAAAATTAGTCGGGCTAAGGTGGTGTGTTCCTGTAATCCCACCTACTCGAGAGGCTGAGGCAGGAGAATCGCTTGAACCTGGGAGGCGGAGGTTGCAGTGAACTGAGATTGTGCCATTGCACTCCAGCCTAGGTGGCAAGAGCAAGACTCCATCTCAAAAAAAAAAAAAAAGAAATCTCTCTATATGTATCTATAGATATAGATATGTTTATAGATATATAGATATACAGAGACATATATATAGAGATGAGAGATATGTGTACACATATATATAGATACACATTTTGTGTGTGTTTGTGTGTGTGTGTGTGTGTATATGTTTGTCTTCAGGCACCTGAAGAAAAACAGATGTACTAGCAAAACTTACTAAAGGCTCAAACTCTAGTAAATTTTCTTTAGGTACCTGAAGAAAAACAAATATCTAATTATTATACCTAGAAAAGTGGGGCTATCACCCCATTTCCTAGACTTCTGGAAGTTTTCTTAAATAGCTGTGTGTCCTCACTCTGACACTATGTGGCCAAGGGGCTGAGAGCACAGA
The DNA here is from genome assembly GCF_000001405.40 of Homo sapiens. Lineage (NCBI taxonomy): Eukaryota > Metazoa > Chordata > Mammalia > Primates > Hominidae > Homo > Homo sapiens. Next base: position 89,722,699 of record NC_000004.12, read on the forward strand.
CTGTGGTGCTGTAATGTTGGGCCTCTTGGCTCTGCCGCTTACTAGCTGTGTGGCCGTGGGAAAGTTATCTAGCCTGTGGGTGCCTCCTTTGGCTTATGTGTAAAATTAGAATCATAATGGAACCTATTAAGGTTGTTTTGAGAATTAAATGACTTAATATTGATAAATCACTTACATCTATATTTGACACATAATAATTTGTCTAAAGTATAGCCAATAACAGGGACAGAGCTCATATGAAAATGTCAGCCCTGTTGCACTCTTGCCCTGCCCAAGACAGAAAGAACAAAGTGGGATGAACACATTTCAGATGAAACACAGAGTTCCATTAGTGTGTGGACAGAGGCAGTCTGTCAGGTTTACAGATTTGAAAAGAAAATGTGTTTTCTTCCTCAGTATGGATTTAGACAGCACTGTCTTTGAGAATTAATAGTTGTCTTTGAGATGTGTGAATGCATGAGTGTGTTTGTTTTAATCTAGTAGTGAAAAGGAAACGCTGTTTTTCTTTCTATACACTCACTCACAACACTCAATATTTCCGGAACACAATATTTCCGGTTCATTTCTGACACCACATGTGTGTGTGGGGTGTGTTTTCTACACCAAGCAATTCTCCCATTCTTTGTGGCTACCAACTGGGTGTCCCGTAATTCAAATCGGACACTATCTACCTGGAGTTAGCATTGACCCACAGGTTAAGGACTCAGTTTTACAAGATTTTTCCCCTTCCCACTGAAGATGACAATCACAAGCAATGAGTCCTCATGTTACTCATAGCTTCTGTTTGACTTGTCTACAAATCCAAGGTCTCCACGGCCCTCTCCTCAGGTTTGATAATTTGCTAGTGTGATTCACAGACTTCAGGAAAACAGTTTGCTTACTAGATTACCAGTTTGTTATAAAAGGATACAACTCAGGAACAGCCAGATGGAAGAGATGCACAGGGAAAGGTATGGGGGAGGCGTGGGGAGCTTGCATGCCTTCTCTGGACACACCACAATTCCCAGCACCTCTGCATGTTCACCTATTTCAAAGCACTCTGAATCCTGTCTTTTAGGGATTTTTATGGAGTCTTCATCATGGAAGCATTGTTGCTTATTAACTCAATCTCCAGCTCCTCTTCTCTCCCGTCCCCAGAAGATGTGAATGGGGCCAAAAGCTTCAAGCTTCTTATCATGGCTTGACCTTTCTGGTGACCAGCCCCCATCCAGGAACCCAGCAAGAGTCACTTCATTAGAAGAGAAGATGCTACTCTCACCCAGGGACTAAGGAGCTCTGTCAGAAAGCAGAGTCAAAGACCAAATATTAGAACAAAAGATGACCCTAGCACCCCTACTACTCAGGAAATTACAAGGGTTTTAGGAGCTCTTTGTAAGAACTGGAGGCAGAAACCAAATACATATTTTCATATATGTATATATTTATTATGTCACAAATAGCTACATACTGGATAAGCCAGAAAGATGAGGAAACATGTTTGCATCTCACACTAGTGCAGAGATTCTGAAAAAGACCCCACTTGGAATACCAAACCACACATTAGATTGTTCTGTTCCCAATTGTGTGCCAAAGTGCACTCTGAACTGTTTTGGTAAAGCCGACCGTGGAGTCATATGAGGCTGAATAACTTGGGAGAATGTAAGTCTGCAAAATAAACCTAGGACTGGATTGATCCTCAGGCCACTTGGCAGGTGAATGTCTCGGGAGTGAATATGAGACAAGCTTCCTGAAAAGGCTTATATGACTTAAAGAACTTTTTGTTTAAGTGTTTGGTCCCAAATAAACTATTAAGATATATAAAGTAATTCACTGCTCAAAAATTACCGTCAGATAAATATTAAGGGAAGAAACACTTTAAAGGAGAATTTGTATCCACATAAATCCTTAAATTCATGGTCACAACTTTCCTAATCTCAAATTGTTCTAGGTCACTGCTATCAGTCTAGTTCTGTCCTCTATTTCTTAATTTAATACCAATACTTTTAAATTTTTAAAATATGCTGCTTTAGGTAGATTTAAAATATATCCTAACCGCCACTTTCTAACCTTCCTGAAATATACTGTTCAATAACAAATCCTTTCCTTGCTTAAACATAACTTAAATAAAACAAGAAACTTACCATTTCTCTCTAGTGTAAGATGACACATGCAGCTTAGCACTCTGTAGTAGTCTCTCTTCAATTAGGTAAAAAAGGAAGTTTCTATGGTAACCATCCTTATAGTCACTCATTCCTCCTTCCTTCCTCACCAGCGCCCAATATATATCACATTACTCATGAATACATATAAACTGCTAGCATGTCTAGAATATTCTGTCTTGAAATTATACTTTCTACTAGTGACTTTTAGAAATGACTATGCCCCAGAATAATTAAAAAGAGAAACCAAATAATTTTTAAATTAATTTATACAGAGTTTTTCACCATCAAGTTTATTTTCAGCACCCATGGGGAGTTAATAGATCTTCCCTGAAAGAGAAAAACCTTTCCTAAGGAAAAATCCTAGAATTCATATATTTGGCAACATTTAAAGGAGGCCATGAAATTTTTATCAGTCTAGAGAATTGATCTCCTTTAAGGTGACTCTGGTAGTTCCAACGATGTTTAAAGGCATTTCCTGTAAAAAAAAAAAAAAAAAGAGAGCGAGAGAAAAAGAGAGAGAGAGAGAGAGAATTTCTGATGATTAAAAAAAAAAAGTGAGGAATGCTGAGTTAAACAAAGTTAACCACATTCTCTCAGAGCCTTGAATGTGCTAATATGTGCTAATGTGTCTTATGGCTCTCTAAGGAGGGTGTAGTCAAAATCATCTTCTACACTGCTTAGTTCCCGGGAACCCACTTTTTTTTTTTTTTTATTCATGGTCGAATATTATTTATTGTCAGAAAGGTACAGCATTCACACCAATATCAGACAAAATAGATTTTAACTAAAAAATTATTTCGAGACAAAAATAACAATATATGTTAATAAAAGGCTCAATTAAAAATGTATAACAATTATAAACACATACACATCAAACAACAGTTCCCCAAAATACGTAAAGCAAACATTGACAGGATTGAAGGGAGAAATAGACCACTCTACAATAGTAGTTGGGGTCTTCAACACCCCACTTTCAATAATTAATCACAGCCACTTAAGGAACCAGTGCATACCAAAACACACTTCTGGCAGTGTTGCTTCAGGGAATTCCGAGTGTAGGGTTAATGTTCCATTTTCTCTACCTCTTCTAAAATTCCTCCTTCTTCAAATGGCTATTAATAACTTTATATTTTTGTCCTTTGTGTCAGTTCTTAATTCATGTTGCTTATAAGCATGATTTTTATTATTAAAGTGAGATGGGATAAAAATAAAATATTTTTGCAATGAGATAACGTTTTATTTTAATTCTCACCATTTATATACAAACACAAGTGAATAAAACACATCGCAAAATGGTAAAATTTCATATTTAGTATTTATAGGTGCATAGTTTCATGCTCACATATTTTTAAGTATTATATATATTAACAAATTTCACAATACGTCATTATTCTTAGACAGTATCATTAAAAGACACCTAAAAATCTTATAATATATGATAGCAAATCACTAACAACTTCTGAACAACAGCAACAAAAAAATAGTGAGGATTTAGAAATAAGTGGTAGTCACTTAGGTGTTTTTAATTTGTTTTAACATCGTAGATTGAAGCCACAAAATCCACAGCACACAAAGACCCTGCTACCATGTATTCACTTCAGTGAAAGGGAAGCACCGAAATGCTGAGTGGGGGCAGGTACAGATACTTCAATCACTGCTGATGGAAGACTTCGAGATACACTGTAAAAACTTTGAGAAATGTCATGACTGGGCACATTGGAACTGAGCACTTGTACAGGATGGAACATCTGTCAGCAGATCTCAAGAAACTGGGAGCAAAGATATTTCTTAGGCTTCAGGTTCGTAGTCTTGATACCCTTCCTAATATTAGAAAAATCAAAAAGACAGCACACACTGTTAGTATAAGTTTCAATTACGCATCAGCACTGACAGCCAATGAGATAGGAAATGGCTCCCCACTTACACTAAAATTTACAATCAATGTTTTTGCAAATATTCTGCAGCAAATATTATCTTATTTTTAATAGTTGTGTCTTTCTTGTCTGATATAAAAGTGAATTACAGTAGTAGTCAGAGTTAAAATATCTAGGTTCTGATCCGGATGCACCATTTAATGATCATATACCTAGTTTGGTAGGACAAATAAGTTGGACTGTCTGGTTCTCAGTTTCTTCACCTGTAAAATGTGAGAACAAAATCAAGCTGTCTATAAAGCCTTTTCCAGACTAAGATGCTCTAATTCTCAGAAGGAAATTAAGATGTTTGAAGGCAAGATACATTTTCCCTACTTTCACTCTCCCAGTTGAAAATTTCGTCTTCATCTATGGCTTCAATTATTACTTGTATTTCAAACCTCAAGCTCTCCATACAGTATCTGGATAGCATCCACAACACAAATATTAATGGATTTAATTAAAGGGATCAGATTATTCCTCCTAAAGAGCAACTCTAATAATATCAGGATTCTGCTTAAAAACAAACAAATAAGCATAACTTCAATAACTCAAGTTGTTTTCTGAATAGAATACAAGCTGAAATGACAAGATTATCCTAATACTCTATAACTTGTCTTTGACCCATAGCTGCAAATTCAATCTATCACCATTTTCCTTGTTCCTAAGCTTGAGTCATAATTATTCACTGTTCTCAGACATATCCATTTGCATGCTCAGACATACATGCCTTTGCTTCTGATATTCCCTTGTGCCAGAATGTCCTCTGTTTGTTTTGACCTACTATATCTCTTACCTTTTCCCACCCAGATCAACATTACCTCCTCAATAAAACTTCTCCTGATTGATTGAAACAGATCTTTAAAATGTTTTACTTTTTAGTATGTCTTATATATTTTTGCTCCTGTGATGCCTGGTACATCGAAGACAATCAATTATGTTTGTTAAAGGAATCATAATGAAGAAATGAATGAATGAATTTCTATTTTTTTTCATCAAACCTACCAGACTGTAAACTCCTTATGTCCTGGTAATGTCAATTACTCTATAGTTTTCCATTGTGTTTAGTACTGTGTCTTGCATAAAAGACCCCAAAATATTGGAAATTCTTATTAGGCAAACAAACAATTTAATCTCAATTTCTATAAGTTGAATTATTATCAATATGCCTTTCGTGTGTCTGTGTGAGACAGTCTTGCTCTGTTACCAAGATTGGAGTGCAGGGGTGCCATCTCAGCTCACTGCAACCTCTGCCTCCTGGGTTCAAGTGACTCTCATGCCTCAGCCTCCCAAGTAGCTGGAACCATAGGCGTGTACCACCATGCCCGGCTAATTTTTGTATTTTTAGTAGAGATGGGGTTTCACCATGTTGGCCAGACTGGTCTCCAACTCCTGGCCTCAAGTAACCTGGCCACTTTGGCTCACAAAGTGCGGGATTACAGGTGTGAACTGCTGTGCCCATCCTCGACATGCCTTTTAATAATGCCGTGAGGAATAATACATAACCAAACTACAACATACTTGAACTCAATTTTTAATGGAGCCATTATATAGTTTCTTTTCTTGTGATATCTTCATTTGGTTTTGATTATCAGGGTAATATTGGTCTCACAAAATTAGTTGGGAAATGTCTCCTCTTCTGTTTTGTAAGAGATATTAATTGGTGTTAACTAATTAGTATTAATTCCTCTTTAAATGTTTGGTAGAATTTACCAGTGATGCCATCTCGGCCTGGGATTTTCTTTGCAGGTAGGTTTTTTTTTTTATTACTAATTTAATCTATTCGCTGTGTTACAAATCTATTCAGATTTACTGTTTCTTCTTGGGCCAGTTTTATTCATCTAACAGTATTTTCTAATTTCCCTTTTGATACATTTTCTATTAAAGATACTTTCATTTTCAATCAAAATAAAATTAACAATCATATTGTGTTGTTTAAAACATTATACTGGAATATATCAATTGTCGCAAATCATGCATTTATCTTTTTATTCTATAACTTGTGTGGGTAACTTTTATTTTACTATGCGTCATCCCATTGGACATGTATGGCAAAAAATAATAACCTTCCTTTGGCATTCCATTGATTTCCCTAACTTTCCATTTAGAAATTTATTTTAGAATGTAAAGTTTCTAAAAATATATTCTCTAATGCAGGGGTTAGTAAACTTTTCCTGTAAAGGGTCAAGTAGTAAGTATATTAAGCTATGTGGACTACATATGATTTCTTTTACATCCTTTCTTCCTCTTCTTCATCTTCCTCCTCCTCTTTTTTTTTAAGGACCCTTTAAAAATGTAAAAACTATTCTTAACTTGCAAGTTGTCCACGTAATGAGCATGTAGAGAGCAAATGATTCTCACTAAGCACTAATGAAAGAGAAATGTGACAATGACAGGTTTTTGGTACTGTCTTGTTAGAAAGATTCAGCTTGGACTCCTACCTCAGAAGGCATTTCATAAGCCTCATTGTCAGGATCCACAGGCATATCTTCCAGAATTCCTTCCTGTGGGGCTCCTTCTTCATTCTAATATTTAAAGTAAGAAGCACAAAAAGAACATGATGAAGTAGCATTTTTCACTTTTAAAAATCAGAACCATGTTTTGGAAAAATCTTACATATAGGGATGTTGGCCACGGATCTTGAAAATGGCACACCTTAATATTACTACTGGCATTCTAAACTCCACAATGCCTCCGGGGAAACATTGCGGCAACATGGGTTATCAACCCTCAAAGTATGTAAACTTTTTGCTCAAGTAATTTACTATTTAGGAAATAATCCACAGCTATAGTCCAAAGATATTTTTCACAAGATCAATGACAGCAGGAAACAAAATTTTTAGAATTGTTAACTAAATGTTCAATGAATAATGAAGAGTTAAAAAATTATTGCTGGGTGCAGTGGTTCACTCCTGTGATTTCAGCACTTTGGGAGGCTGAGGCAGGTGGATCATTTGAGTCCAGGAGTTCAAGACCAGCCTGGGCTGTTACAATGAAACCCCATCTCTACTAAAAATACAAATAAATAGCTGGGCATGGTGGCACATGCCTACAGTCCCAGCCACTTGGGAGGCTGAGGCAGGAGGATCACTTGAGCCTGGGAGGTAGAGGCTACAGTGAGCCATGTGCATGCCACTGCATTCTAGCCTGGGTGACAGAGGGAGACCTTGTCTTAAAAAAAATTATCATTCAACTACTCAGTAGATTATGATAAAGACCTGTATTACTATTACCTGAGAATTATGTAACAACTACCTATTTATGGTATAATATTTAGCAGGCTATAAAGTGTTGTCTATATTATAGATACAACCTACACAGAATTCAGACGCAAAGGTAAAAAGTTTGGAAGAAAACACAATAAAATATGAAAGTTATTTTGTTGGATAGTATGTATGTTATTTTGACTTTTTTTCTAAGTGTTTAACTTTTATAACCACTTATAATGTAAAAGCATACATATTTAACACATTAATTTTAAATGACAATGAAGAAACAAATTCTTTTCTGAAATTTGAAGACTGAGACTATACATATTGAAGGAAAATAATCAAATACATGGTCAGAAAATTTTTCTAGGTATCTCTTCCTAGACAAAGAATACTACAAAACTCAGCCTGAAATGGTCATGGCTTTGTTGGTATTCTTCACTAAATACCTTTTGTTGCTTTGCATTTATTTCAGCAAAGTAATTATAAGAAGATAAAGGTAAGTGAAAATTCAAAGAACAGAGAGGCAATGTGAGCCTAAAGGGACTTGGAGAAAGAGATCAAATAATCCCTCAGCCAACGCGGCTGATTTTCAACAACATGTCTGATGTAAAAAAGCTTCCCCATGTCTTCACATGGAAGTGACTGACAGGGACGCAGAAGTATAAGAAAATGGCTAACAGTAAGAAAAGGTCACACTAAAGATCATGCTTATGGTAGGTGGGCAGAGAAGCTTACAGATCATTCTGCCCTTGCCAATGCCCTTTTTATAAACTAAAAAAAATCCAAATAATATATAAATTAAATAAAATATGAACCACCCCAAACTACCTCACTTTAAAATGTGGAGTAAACATACTGTTTTCGTAGTGTTTCACTTCTTGGTAGATACGCCTCTGCTGCAGGATGGCTAGGCACAAGGCCTTCCATGTCACAGGACTTGAGCTCAAGTCCTAGCTTCTCTAGATGACAGAGCTTTTGTGATGCTGAGAAGTTTCCTATGCTTTTTCTGAGTGTCAATTAGTCTTAGTGATCAAACGGGACAGCAAAACCTTCTTTACAACAGGGAGAAGGAAACGACATCATTAACTTTCTCATTAATATTTAGATTACTGTTAGGATATCCAAGTATAAGGGAAATAAGGCAAATTTTTTTCCATGATTTTGAAACTGACAGAGATTTGATTTTCTAATATAATTTGTTAGAAAATTTTGATATGGACCAGACAAGTAAATATGGCAGACCTACCCTGTTTGTTGTTTGATGATCAAAAAGGAGTTGTTATGACGGAACTAAGACTGATGGATATTACTGGATTTGTTTATATGTTATTTGGCTGAACTTTGAAGGATGTACACAGATGTGTAGGTTAGGTGAGTGTGTGTGTCTGCATGGTTCCAGCCTGGGTGAGTGGGTGTGTACAAGAGCACCCTGCAGTAATGGAACAGCGTCCTGTCCGGGGTGGGTTCCCATATTGCTCCCTGAGCTGCCAGGATAGGCTCCAACCACCTGCGGCCTCCACCGAAATAATTAGGTAAGTTATTTGACTTGTTTGTATTAATCTTTCTTAAACGTATATATAGCTCACATTAATTTCAATGTTTAATGTCAGAAGTGATTTATCTTTATTTAGGAGTTTGATGGTGTTTTTGTGTCCAGAAATTTGCCATAGGACTTAATTCTTGCTTATATCAATTAGCCAATGGTAAAACTGGTTTTGTTATATGTTGTTTTGCTTCAAGTCACAGTTTCCAGAAACTATTGATGAAGTTAAGTGAGGATTTACTGTATTATGTGCCCTCTGATGGAAGTACATACACATCACCATCTTAAACTAAGACTGTACTAGTTTAAGTGGGCTATTGTTCACTGATCCAATAACTTCATCAAGTGGGAACAAGCTACACTAGGGATGACAGCACAATCCTATTCTAGAGTCCAAATCGACAATAGGGTTTACGACCTCGATGTTGGATCAGGTCATCCTAATGGTGTAACTGCTATTAAAGGTTCGTTTGTTCGACAATTGAAGTCCTACATGATCGGTGAGGTCAGGAGATCTATAGCATCCTGGCCAACATGGTGAAACCCCATCTCTACTAAAATACAAAAAGTTAGCCGGGCGTGGTGGTTCTCCTATAGTCCCAGCTACTCGGGAGACTGAGCCAGGGGAATCACTTGAACCCGGGAGGTGGAGATTGCAGTGAGCCCAGATCACACCATTGCACTCCAGCCTGGTGACGGAGTGAGACTCCGTCTCAAAATAAATAAATAAATATATAAATAGAAAAAGAAAACAAAAAAAGAAAAGCCCTACGTGATCCGAATTTGAATTTGATTAACATTTAACTATCACTGACAACTTACAGCAAATATAAGGTGGTGAAAAACATGTTCATTGCTTACAACAGTGGCTACAATCAGCAAATTTTGCACTGTGAGAAACTACACAAGACAAAGAATACGTCTAATTTCAATAAGTAAATTGCAACTAAAAAGAAGTTAGTGGGAACCTGCCGCTTAAAGTAGAAGTGAGAGAGCATTAGCCAATTGCAACCTAAGAACTTTATTTCATTCTCATTGGGAACCCTACATAAGCAAATGGAAAACACATATGAGGTAGTTGGGGAAATTTGAACACTGACTTGATATTTAAGAATTATTGTTTATTTCTTTAGGTGTGATGATATATTGCAGTTTTACTTCAAAAAGTTCTTAACTTTTACAAATTAATTAAATGTTTACAGATCAAATAAGATATCTATCTAGGTTTGGGTGGGGGAAATGGGTGGGATATAGAAGAAACATGAGTTTAATATTTCATCAGTTTTAAAAAGTATATACAGTAGTCTCCTTTTATCCGTGGTTTTGTTTTCCATGGTTTCAGTTGCCCACCACCAATTGCAACCCCAAAATACTAAGATATTTAGAGACAGAGAGAGAGGGAAAGAGAAAGCGAGACCATACCCACATAACTTTTATTACAGTATATTATTATAATTGTTCTCTTTTGTTATTAGTTATTGTTGTTAATCTCTTACTGTGCCTAGTTTATAAATTAAACTTTTTCATAGGTACATAAGCATTGGAAAAAACAGTATATGTAGGGTTTGCTACTATCCGCAATTTCAGGTGTCCTAGTGGGGGTTTCAGAATGTATCCCTGTAGATAAAGGAAGACTGCTGTATGCTCATTTCAATAGTTAGTTCTCTAACTATGTTTTTCTGAATATGTGATCTAAATTTGTTGACTCTATCACATTCGTAGATTTTAAGCATACTAAAATATTTGGCAGCTATTCCAAGGAGAATATAACAACAAACACTTCATATGACCATCAGACACAATTTTATCCCTATACCTGTATATTTACTGTTTCATAAACCTATTTCTAAAAACATTGTTATCTATAAAGAAATATTAAATTTCAACTCCAATTTACAACTGTGCCTAATATAGTTTGGCTGTAACAAAAAAAGAACATTAAAATTTGCATTTTATGAGTATTCATGACTTGTTTTCAAAATATAATCATACTTGAAGGTGTGAAGTGCACCTTCTATTTATTTTTACCACAAACAAGAAAAAAAACTACCAATATAACAAATGTTAAACACTTTTGAAAAAATCAATTTTTTCTCAAATTTTCATTATGATATTATATTAACCCAGAATATGTTAGGGCAATAAAATAAATGAGAAAAACGTCTGGATTTTGGTATATGCCTGTATGCTTAATAAGAGAACCTACAGGGTAGGATATAGAGACATAGTAAGAAAATACCTTTTATTCTCTCTCTACTAGGCCCTATCCCTGGAATAGCTGTAGACTTTTTTTTTTCAAATGGGATTGTTTTACGAACAGTGAAATAGACTCAGTTCAGTATCTTATATCTGCATTTGACACACAGAAAGAAAAATGGTTATCAAAAAATTACAATGGAATGACCCTCATTGCTAATAAGGAAAGACTTAAAAGCTATATTAGGAAACAGAAATGGCTGAGACTGACCTCTTTCTCCCTAAAAAGCTTATTCAAGTTCTTTTTAAATAAACCTGTAGGGTTGAATAGCTGATATAACTGATTATCATTTCGTACTCGTCCCAGCTGAAGTGCTCTATAAAACAGATCATGAGACGAAGCTTCCTTCACTGCTAATAGCTTATTGGGAAGTACAATTCCAGGGAAGTGAAAGTGAAGGAAAAGGGAAGTGATACAAGGAGAAGTAGGAAAAAATTTCAGCTACTGTCTTTAGGAATACAACTACAGAATTTACATAATCTTTTTAAATTTCCTGTTTTGAACCATATTGTATTTAGATACCTAGTAATACTTTCTGTAAGGAAATTATCTTTATTCAATTCTATGACTTATAACTTTAATTTTAAATATATTTAAAATGACACATAATAAAGGCAAAAATTGCTTTCCAAACCACACTCTTCTAGAATCATCTAGGGCCCTTGTTAAAAATGCAGGTTTGTAGGGCCTTGTGAGTGTCTTGTTAAGTATGTTCCTTGGAAACCACTGCCCGACATCACCAATTGTTTGTAAACCCTGTGGTATAATTTAATATAGAGTATACCAATGTACTTGCTGTCAGTGTGAATAATTTTTTTTAAAAAAGATATGCTCATTTTGAAGTCCATCAAATGTTGGCAAATGTTGAGGGTTATCTGAAGACACTGGGAAGTAATCCATGGTGATCGTTAAAATAGCAAGGTTTCATCAATTATCTGGTATCTATGCTTTGTCAAAGTTAGAAATGTAGAGATACATTTCTAAATTAAAACTTTTATGTGGGAAGAAAAATTGAAATTCAAGGCTGGTTGGTCTTTGGTATACCCAAAGAACAAAGAGGAGGTTGGAGGTGTTCTGAAAAAGAGAAATGATACACGCTGCTCTTTGAGAAAGTTCATTGGCACTAGAAAGGTTCTGGGGAGCTAGTAAGCTTCAATTGGTGAGTGACAGTGGTGGGCAAAATTAGTCCTAGAGCTGCAGCAAGTTTTTTCAGCAGTTACAGAAAAAATTGGTCCCAGGTTACAACAGGCAGCCTCAGCATGCGGACTTGTAGAAAATTACACTTTTGGAGCAATGTGATGTTTCTTGAATGCTTTTCCTCCCAGGCTTCTTGATTGTTTTAGTTGGGTATAACAAGAATGACCCAATTTGTGTGATCAACTTTCACAGCCTTAAACATTCAAAGCAGCAGAAGCGCACTTTCTCTTTTGCCCACTGCTTTTACACTTGAAGATATTTTGGGTAGAACCATTGTTTTGCTGCATTATTGAACAATGTCACTTAGCCTCAAATAATGGAATTAATACCTTCACTCAACAACTCACACCAGGAGGATGAAGGAGAGAGATAGTAGCCAAAAAGATAAAAGAAGAAACTAAAAAAGAACTTTGACTTAAGAGGAAAAAAAGGTTCAACTTAAGCACACACCCGTGTTCCAAAATGAAATCAAGCCCAGAACTCGTATTTAAATAAAAATAGCATAGACGTTTCAAAAATGTGAATATTCTCTACTTCTCTACCTCAGACAGGGGAGTGTGTACATAGTGTAGATAGTATATTTCACTAAGAGAATTACCATGTATTTTATTGATGCACTTAAAAATGAAGGCGATAGACATGAATACCTTGTTAAAAAGCAAGGTAAAGATATATTTCATATGTTCAATTTTCTATTATCAATTCCTAGTCTGCTCATAATGCCATTTTGGGGTGGGGAGCAAAGGGCATCTGATTCAAAATCAAACTAATCTCAATTTTTGATAAAATCTAAGGAATTTTATTTTTAAAACATTGAATTAAAGCAAACTTTGGATACTCTGATTTCTCTTGAGGTCATAAATCCTCTGCCTTTTTAAGAGATCTATGTGGAGAGGAACAACTCTGGGTCTTAAACGAATTATTGAGGTCTTGTTTTGGAAAGGCTAGATATTTTGTTAAAAAATATAAGATTTCAAAAAACCTAAAACTTTGGACAATGTTATTTAATCATCAAAAGCAAAACAATATGCATATTTCAGAAATAACACTATATTTTCAGTCTTACTATTATGCATAAGAAAGAACAATATAAAAATAATGTAATGATTACATTTATTGTTTACATACTCTGAGGAGTATTTAATTGCATCCTAGTAAGTATATTCTGTCACATGAGAAGCCATAGAAATTGGCATGTTCTGCTGTATCCAATGCCCAAAGGATAATAAAGCATGATAAAATTACACTTAACGAACCCAACCTCCTTTTCCAATTATATATGGTTAAGTTAAAATTCAAACTTTAATTTTTGGGAAAGTATAGTTATGGCTTAGATCTAAGGTAGAAATAAAATGACCAAAGGACTTGGTGCATTTAACATTCTATAACTTTAGAAATGCATCAAAGTGGCAAGCCCAGCATTAAGAGCTATTTGTCACTAAGGGCCTGTGGTTGAAGTCTGTTGGATCCATCTGTTCTTTCTGAGGCAATATGCAGACGAAAGGTAAGGGGAGTTGCAACATAATTTGTAATATTTGATACATTATAATACATGATAAATTATAATATATTAGAAATATAATTTATAGCATTACATCTAGTAAGATAGATGTAAAAGGGAACAGGTAAGTGAAAGGGCAAGGCATAAGTCTTGTATAGAGTGACAGGTCTGGTACAGTCCTACTACCAAATCTATAACTATAGTATTTTGAATATTTTGCACTATTTCAATGTAGCAGTATTTTAGGTTTGGTTGGCCTGACTTTACAACAAGATAAAAAATTCCAAGTTTTAACAATGTAGTGACCTACTGTGTTTTAGATGTTGAAATCTATAATTTTCTATCAACATTTTCTACTAACCTGTAAAAGACATGCCTTAGAATGTGGGAACACACACAAACACATACATACTCACAGACACATACACACGAAGTACAGTAGACCACTGATGATCTCTGGTGCCACTTCCTGAGATCATTTTGAATGTTCTAATTAAAAAGTGCAAAGTATAATTTTTTGTCATAAATTATACATGCTATGCTATTATATATGCTAAGCCAAACCTAGCAACAAGGCTGAGTGAAGATGTGGCTCCTGGGTCATATGCTAGGCTTTCTTTCGGCAAATGGACTTGCTCTCCCTCAGTTATGTTACATACCTACTCAGATCAGGTCTCAGCAAATGTACAAATTACTATGTCATCAGCCATCTGGATCACTTGGGAATAGTCACATTGGTGAACGCTGTAAGTCATATCTTAAATACATTATACATAATCCATACCTACAGATTGAGAATGCAAATCTATTTTAATTAAATGATACCTTTAGAGAACCCAGTCTTACACATAAATAACATATATTTAGAAGCCATTTATGCTCTACTTTGTTTATCTTTTGTTTAGAGGCAGGGTCTTGCCCTATTGCCCAGGCTGTAATGCAGTGATACAATCATAGCTCACTGTAGTCTCCAACTCCTGGGCCCAAGTGATCCTCCAGCCTCAGCCTCCCAAATAGCTGGGACTATAGGCTTACACCACCATGCTCGGCTATTTAAATTTTTTTTTTTTATAGAGATGAAGTTTCATTATGTTGCCCAGGCTGGTCTCAAACTCCTGGACTCAAGTGATCCTCCTGCGTCAGCCTCCGAAAGTGCTGGGATTACAGGCATGAGCCACTGCACCTGAGCCGTGCTCTACTTTGGATAATCTGTTACTATCTTACTGATTTTCTTGTCTTTTGCCCTTCTAGCTGTTTCTTTAGTCTTGGCAATCACCTTAGAGAGAGAGAAAAAGAGAAAAGATGAAATAAAAACAATTTATTTCAGTTTTTAAAGGTTTGGCAGTGGAGGAGAGAGTAAAGCTAATATATTAAATATATTTGGGGTTATTTTGGGGAGCTATTTACTAGTTTTATCTCTGAATTCAGGTTTAAATACATTCAACCATAAATTAAAAAATAATTGGTGGATAAATCAGGAATTGGTGCAAAATCATTTTTAAGAAGAAAATGTCATTATATAGCAAAGAGGTAGTATGCTGCTTTAAATCCTTATTTTCCTTGGCAAGCCTAACAAGCAGGGCAGTGCCTGCTGTATTTATGGTAGTGCCATATAATTAGCTGACTCACCTAATAAGACTTCACAGCGCAGCAACAACTGCCAGCTTTTTTTGTCCTGTTACTTGGATAGACTCGGTTGAATATACTAATGCACAAAGGGAAATCTGGGAATAAACTATTTTTACTTTTCATGTCTAAGGGCTGATCCTCCTCTTCTAGAAATAAAATTTATTATGTATGTTAAACTATATTCAAATTTGTTTACTATTTTAAGCTTTCATGGATTAGAATCTTGAAGGTCAGCCCCTTGGGTAGTGACTGAATAAGACATTAACGATGTGAAGATGGGTCAAGCTGAGAAAGGTTTGCTCTTGTGCTGAGCTCAGAATCAATAAGTCATTTCATGTTTGCAAATACAATGATATTTGGAGGCAGGTCTTTTTTTTTTTTTTTTTTTTTTTTTTTTTTTGAGACAGAGTCTCGCTCTGTCGCCCAGGCTGGAGTGCAGTGGCGCGATCTCAGCTCACTGCAAGCTCTGCCTCACGGGATCACGCCATTCTCCTGCTTCAGCCTCCCGAGTAGCTGGGACTACAGGCGCTCACCACCACGCCTGGCTAATTTTTTTGTAATTTTAGTAGAGACAGGGTTTCACTGTGTTAGCCAGGATGGTCTCGATCTCCTGACCTCGTGATCCACCTACCTTGGCCTCCCAAAGTGCTGGGATTACAGGCGTGAGCCACTGCGCCCGGCCAGAGGCAGGTCTTAAAACTAGCAACTGGGTGAGAAATCAGTGGGGAGGGTAGGCTTTGACAAAGTAAGAGATAAAGAGTCTGCTTTCATATTTTAGAAAAACCCAGGGAATGCTGAAAAGCCCATAGGAAAGAAGAAATATGCTGTCAAGATGTTAGTGAGCCAAGGCCCAGGAGTTTGCTCTCAAAAACAGATGAGAAACTGGACTTAAAATCTGACTGGGAGAAAGTACTTTAGGCAAAACAAACTACTCATATACAAAAGGATGGGCTCTGAAGCAGAGAGTGAAGGCAATAGCTTCAAGATCGGTGGATTTAAAACCTAGAAGTATCTTCTCTAAAAGATAAAAGATTAAGAAAGGCTTTAAGATAGCTAGAGCAGGAATAAAGTAGTCAAGTGAATGTGATACCACAAGGTTCCAGAAGTTTCCATACTAATAGAAACAGATACTAAGTGAAGTTTGAGGGGCCCTCACAATCTGGATAGAAAACTCTTCAAGTAGATCTCAACCTTCAGGCTGGAATATCTTTGCTTAGCTATCCCAGCCAGAGGACCATAGTGGTTGATTTCAAAAGGAGTTGCAATTATTCTATCTTGTAAATTCTCTCATTGTTAAGTTTTGTCACAGTTTGTTGTTGCTACTTTCTTTCAGTTACCTAGAAAATGTTTTCTCTGAAAACCTCTATCCATGCCTCAACAGATCGGAGATAAAAAAGGAATCATCTTACAAGATTATCAAGAAAGATAATGGGCTAGGTGTATCCTTAAAAGGTCATTCAAATGAAATATTAAAATTCTTACTTTTCTGTGTTATTCGGACATGGAATAACAATAACAGTTAATGTTTATTTGGTGCTTACTCTGTATTTGGTACCATTTCAAGAGTTTTATATGCATTATTTGATCTTAAAAAACAACTCTTTGAGGAAGTTACTACTGTCTCCATTTTATCAGTGAATGAACAGAGATAGGAAGTCTGGCTCCAAAGCCCACACTCTTAACTATTATGCAATATTAGTTGTCAAATGTCTTGAAAAAAAAATCTGTGTAATTACTAAAATATTACGCTGGGCTACTTATTAAGGTAAAATTACGTTTCAAAAAAATTAATCCTTTCCAAATGCAATGTTAACTATTCATGATGAAATATCAGAACTATCTCTAATACCAATATTTTTATTGGAATAAAATAGGAGGTTAAAGGAAATGTTTATATATATAAATGTGTGTATATATATGTATATACATATATATATACTATGCACACACACACATACATATCTATGTGTATATATATGATTTTTTGCAAGGGCAAAAACCAGATTTTTTTTAAACACATAATCATTAAATCTGCAAATATCAAGTTTATCAATTTTTTGTTACAGGAAAAAATAGTTTATTATAAATTCAATGCATAGCATTTTCTGGTTTAGACCTTTCCATTATTGTTCTGACAGAACAAAGACTATGAGGTTGTCAGAAATAAATTGTTCATTTTGTTTCCTAAATATGTGGCAAAGACATTGTATGTTTTTTGTTTGTTTGCTTGTTTGTTTGTTTTAGAATAGTTTGAAATGTCTTCAAACCTTTTGACCAACCAAGAAAGCTTTTGCCTGGGCACAGGCTTTATCTTTCTTAGCATTACACTAGAGATACTAATCCCTCCCAACAATTTCATTATGATTATCGCAATAAAATATAACGATCCATTAAGTCCATGGGGCAGATGTTTATTTATTTATAACCATGCCTTATTCCACAGAGAATTTAAAGAGGAATAAAAGATTATTTCCTCATTGCATCAAATGAATATCTTTTATTTTGTCTAATGTTGTATTTCTTTTTCTTTAATTGGCACTAAATGTTTATTTGCATTCTTTTAATTACTTTTAAGGCATCCATTATTTCTGGATTACATTACTGAACTCTCAATAAATCAATACATAGTTCTGTATATAATTTTTTCAACATTTTTTCCTTCTTTAATTTGGTTCATTTGTATCTCCCTTTGCTGTTTATTGAGTAGAAATTCTGATTTTTGTAGCAAAGGGAGAACAAACAAACAACACACAGAATATTCTGTATTTAATGCTGCAATTGTCTCTATGGTTGCAATGTGTAGGTGGGGTGCATTCAAGTGGGCTTGTGGTATTTGTGTGTGTGTGTGTGTGTATGTGTGTGTGTGTGTTGGAAGAATATATATTGAGGATGATTCCTAATTTTATCACTTTGTTGAGGAACTGAAATTGTGGCTACACATTCACTCTAAATATTTTGTCTCACAGTCCCCTCCCTTCAACAATTATATACAGTACACTATTTGTTGGAAGCTCAGGAGAAAAAGGGCATTTAAGAGCATGAGATTTGGTGGCAGACTGACCTAATAGTAGATGGTACCAGTGAGATCTTGAGCAACGTAAATGTTTCAACTGAAAAACGGTAACAATAAAACATTTTTCAGAGTGATGTTGTACTAAATGAAATGATATACATAAAGTAGCCTATAATGACCCATGCACAGTCATAATATCAAATATTTACTGAGCATCTACTATGTGCTAGATTATTTTAAGCACTTTTGAAAATATAAGTATTTTGATAAATGTATATCATATATTGTCTTAATAAGATTATATTGTTGTTATATTTCATCTTATTGCTAATTTTATTTTTTTAAGAAAACCTTTTTTTGGAAAGAATCGAAACTAAAAACCCAACTATTTAAAAAATGGAAACTTTTGGCCGGGAACGGAGGCTCACACCTATAATCTCAGCACTTTGGGAGGCCGAATGGGCGGATCACAAGGTCAAGAGATTGAGACCATCCTGGCCAACGTGGTGAAACTCCGTCTCTACTAAAAATACAAAAGTTAGCTGGGCATGGTGGCACATGCCTGTAGTCCCAGCTACTCGGGAGGCTGAGGCAGAAGAATCGCTGGAACCCAGGAGGCGGAGGTTGCAGTGAGCCGAGACAGCACCACTGCACTCCAGACTGGCGACAGAGTGAGACTCCATCTAAAAAAAAAAAAAAGGAACCTTTTGCCTTACTTCGTTTGCTAGCTACATTCAAGTCTGCAATTAAGCTCGGTGTTTTGCCTTTCTCAAACTGTGCACAGGTCCTCTTGTTTGTTCCCCTTCTCTCTGTTGCCTAGGAATACAGCCAAAAACTTGAGTAATAGATGATAGATGGGTCTGTCACTAAGCACATCCTAGTGACATAGATAAGAAGCAAATGCTACAAAATTATAGGTGCAAACTACAAGTTGTGTTTTAATTGGTTTTAACAAGTACTTATAAGCAGAAGAACTGTGAAAAATCTAACATTTTGTCCTACTTGCAAGCCTGCCAGTCTTTTGAGTGCTGGGCAAAGACACAATAGTGCTGGGTCAGAGACAATTAACTTTACTACTCACATTAATAGCATTAGCAAGAGTATCATGATTTTCTTGCACTGATTCCTCAAGCCGCAATTCCCACAGAAAAGCTCAGGTGACACCTACATGCTCAGTGGGTTGCATTAGAAAAGAGGAACGCAGAGCTCAGGAAACATGGATATTTTATAATGGCCAGTAAAGATGTCCCTTTGCTTTAGAAAGAGGCACTACCTCTATCCAAGGCTGCAAGCACACCTGCCTTTTGTTTTAGAAGGAGAAATGATTTCTATCTTCCAAGGCTGTTCACTATATGAAAAGACAGTCCCAAACAAAAGGCAGTTACTGACTTGCTTGAAAAATGTGCAGAAATGATACGCTGCTTGAATGTGGACAGCTGACACAGGGACAAGGAGTAAAAATGATTAGGTTTTGAGCTTGACCAACTAGGAAGATAATTATTAGCAGTAGAGAAAAAAAGAACAAAGTAGATTTTAGGGCAGATAAGCCATTTTTTAGGTAGGTTGAGTCTGAGATGCCTCCATAAATATAAGTTGAAAATATGAGATTGGAGTTGAGACTTCAGAAATACATATTTTGAGTAGTTACACTACAGAGGTAAGTCATCAGAGTTCATAAAATTAAAGTGAGAAAAAGAGGCAAGTGAAGAAAAACAAGATGGCATTGCATGAAGAACTTTCTTAGGAAGGAAGGCAGCAAAGAGGTAAAATTGGAGGTGTAGTCAGAGATGGAAGATGAAAAAGGAAAATAACAATATTTCAGAAATGAAATGAAAAAGGTCTTTTACTAAGTAATTGGTACTACTACTTGTCAGTTTCAAGTGCTGTAAAAAAAATGGGAAGAACCACACATGTGCACTTTCAGTACTATGTATTTTATGCTTCAGGGATGCATACCTGTTTAACAAAAGTATGTTTTTTCTCAAAGTGTGTTGAATAGTCCAGAAAAAGATGGAGGTAGAAGTCAGACTTCAGGAGATAAAGGAACCAGAAAGATCATTGAAGGCTGTGATGGTAGAAAACATTTTGACAAAGAGTTGTGCAATGAGAAAGCTAGGGGTGGGACAATTAATTTTGAGGGTAACAATTGGGGATTTGAGTAGATTTTTTGCTTCTGTTCTTTAATTGTTTTGTCTTCTTTTTAAAGAAACCAAGAGACTGTTAATGTAGTAGGAGCAGAGTTTCACAATACAGAGCAGAGAGGGTGTTGGTTGATAAAGAATTGTCTCAAATGAGAGGAAAAGAATGGAGCCAATAACAGAGATGATGTTTAATTTGGGAAAGGTGGGACATGTTAACATGAGTCCAGAGAACTAAAATGAGCTTATGGCATGCAGATGCTGAAGATGAAGAAAGGAAAGGAAGGAAAAGGAGGAATTTATATTTATTTATTGAATAATCTTGTAAAACTGTTAATCACCCCTTTTTACTGACGATAAGACATAAATGTCAGAGGTGTTTTGCCTAAAGTAAAAAATTCGATAGTCAAGCTGGGTTTAAAACCATATCAGTCTTACGTCAAAGCATGTTTTAATTGCTGTTGTGTGGTTGTGATTTTAAGGGAAGAAGAAGAGTTTTATAATGGGTTCTCTGAAAAATAAAATATCAATTAGAAAGAAACAAAACAACTGCTGAGAAGCAGTGAATCCAAGCAGAATCTGAGTATCATCACTTTTTAGTTAAACTAACCAGTCCAATATCCTGATTTTTCTTTAACAGGCAAAGAATTTTTGAGTCTTTCCCATAGACTGAGTTCTTGTGAACTATTTTACAGCAATAATGGCATCCAATCCTATAGATAACAATAACAAAGCTGCAGACCATTTTGTTGCCAGGTTTCTCCTCCAGGGTGGCTTTCCAGCTAGTTTGTAAACAAATAACTCAGGTGGCCCTGTCATGTTACATTAACTAAAAACCAAGTCTAAAGCACACATATAATAACATATGTGTGTGCAAACTGGCTTGCTTTCAAATTCCTAAATCATACAATTAAATTTTAAAAATAACTGTATTTGGAAACAAGAAAAAAGTCACTTTGACACCCAACTGATGTATATAAAGGAGACTGTGCATATGGGTTTTAAAATGAGATGAAAATTGAAATTTGATCTTTGAGATTAAAAACAATGTTATGTAAATCTATTTTTATTTAATTTTTCTGAAAAATATTGTATTTGCTTTATACCCTCTTGCTATACAAACTTATATTGTTTTGCTTACCCTCTTTTTTTATTCCTCCTACTTTTTCTTAATTTTGATATCTCTGAATTTAAAGTCTAGAGAATGATTCATCTTCACTAGTTCTATCTTTTCCAGTGCTAGTATTTTTGTTTTTGAGCTGTGGTTTCCCTATCCCATTTTTGAGATCTCAAACTATAATTTGGTGTCGAGTACCCAGGTATCTTATCTTTAAAGTGAAGACGTAGGCAGCACAAAGGTGCTTTTATTAGAACGTCCACTAGATCAGAATGACCAGTGCACAAAATTTATTTTCCTAGCAGACTCACCAAATTTAACCTGGAAGAGAATGTCTGACTCTGTTGAATTTTCTTAGGCAAATACAATATTTGAAAGTCACTGAATGTTTCAAACAAAATATAACAACATTCAGATAACAGAACTGTGTTATTGTTCTCATGTGTTTATGCCCAGAAAATAAGCAGACTGGAGCTTCTCTAAGATTAAAAGTCAAAACAGTATTACAATTCCAGCCCAGATTTGACTATCTAATCATTTAAACCTTAGTATCATCATCATCACCACCGTCACTGCATACTCATTAAGTTAAAAAAAATTCCTTTAAAATAAATGGAAAAGAAAATATCTGTGTAAATAGATTAAAGCGATTCCTGCTCACCACTCCCTTTCTCCCTGGGGCAGGAGACTTGAGCACATCAAAGGAACTCATAGCGTTCTTGGAGTAAGTGTGAAAGCCACCGTGATGAACTAAATGAATGCTTACATCTAAAGAAAGATGTAAACATATTACATTAAAAGGTGGCATGACATAATGGTATATCACTGATTAAGAAATGTGAGGCGACTTTCATGTGCCACTGATAAATCATTATAATTTGACATAGTAGATAATGCCCCTATATTTCATCTGCATACCTGGAAAATGAGGACTTTCAAAACATATTCCTGCCAGTTACAGTCAGGTATTGCAAAACAAGCATTTAGTGAGCATCTAAACTGAAGCTTAGAACTTCAGTTTTGTGGCGGGGCGCGGTGGCTCACGCCTGTAATCCCAGCACCTTGGGAGGCCAAGACAGGCGGATCACTTGAGGTCAGGAGTTTGGGACCAGCCTGGCCCACATGGTGAAACCCCATCTCTACTAAAAATACAAAAATTAGCCAGGCATGGTTGCACGCACCTGTAGTCCCAGTTACTCAGGTGGCTGAGGCAGAAGAATCGCTTGAACCTGGGTGGTGGAGATTGCAGTGAGCTGAGATCCTGCCACTGCACTCCAGCCTGGGCAAGAGAGTGAGACTCCATCTCAAAAAAATAAAGAACTCCAATTTTATTTTCTTCATGGCATAGCATAATAGATGAGTTAACAAATTAATGAAACAGATTGACATGTGTTAATTGCAATCATATACAGAACAGAAATCATTTCCATAAAATATTTAACCTGCCTGTTACTTCCCCTAAATCTCTCTGTAGCTGATGCCCCAATTTCACTATTAGCTCTTCAGACTTGGATGTTAAGCACTGTGCCTTCCCCTGGACCTCTCTTTAAATGTCACAGCTATTTCTGGCAGGTAAGACTATTGCTTTGGTTAGTGTGAACACACACCACTGTGGATCACAAGGCACCTGAGAGAAAAGGCTGCCGAAAGCAGGAAAATAACTCAGAAAAAAGAAAAAAAAACACATGGTGCTGAAAAATACAACAGATATGCATTTGTATACTTATGATCTAATTTATGTCAGTCATTAAAAGAAAATAAGGTGTTTAGAAAATACAGTGCTGTCTATGGTTATATTTAATATTGTGACCACTTAATACAAAGCAAAGCATTCTTGCTTGCTCTCATGGAGAGTGCAATTTAGAATTGAGAGCTCAATTTCTAAGGAGGGTTTATGTACTCTATCTTGAGGCACACCAAGGAGATTGAGTTTACCAGTTTAGAAAGCACTGCCATAATTCAAGTCAGGGAGAGGGCTGATGGAAGATTTTTAAAAGATTTTAAAAGATCATGAGGGCAAGCTGGCTTTTAACAAAACAAAATATTTCCATGTGGCTTCTGGCTGACTGAATTAATAAGGCCCAGAGACTGATCTGAAGGCAAAAGCCTTTATTTTTTATTGCAATGGAGAAAAACTGAACATTATTTGACTATCAGTTGTGAAGTTTAGTAAAAAGATTTTCACTAATGGGTGGTTTTAATATTTATGAATGTGATGGTTCAGCAAATTTTCTCCAATGTTTTGCAAGACCACTAATTAATAATCATCTTTACAAATGGAACATGTAATTGTCTGCTACTATTTTTTCTTTGCCAATGCTTAATACTTATTTTGAATACGTTTTATTTTTTTTCTAAATTTCTCTATTTATTTCTACCTGAGCATTTCTTAATTTTTTTATTCAGTCCTGTTATTCTCACTGTAGGATTTTTAAAAGCTGGTATATTATATTAAAATCCTTCAACTGTGAATTCAGCAATGTTTTGAGTTCCAGGGATTCATCTGGCATTAGGCTGACCTTGTCAAGCATAAACATCAACATTAAAGAAAATATTTAAGAAATGAAAGGCCTGAATCAAAATAAGAGGTCAAATTTTCCAGGGTGTTTTGTGTCTTGAAAATCTTTCTGCTGTAATTACCTAAAGACT
The DNA here is from genome assembly GCF_000001405.40 of Homo sapiens. Classification (NCBI taxonomy): domain Eukaryota; kingdom Metazoa; phylum Chordata; class Mammalia; order Primates; family Hominidae; genus Homo; species Homo sapiens. Next base: position 89,747,009 of record NC_000004.12, read on the forward strand.
GTGGTTAGATAATTATTGAGGGACTTTTGCAATTGTCCCTTTTCTCTATATAGATCACCACATTAATTAAACGAGAGTCTCACTGGGAACAGGTTGCTGTTCTGCATCTTTAAGTATTTTTAGTACTTTATTTTCAAAAGAGAAAAAGAACCACTAAGAAGAAGATTGCTTCTCAGCCAAATTTTCTGATATACAGATATTCTCAAAAGACAAGCACACACACACACGCACACACACACACACACACACACACACACACCCCCCAAGGCTCTGGAATGTGCCTTAACAATCTTATTTTTGCACATTTTAAAAGGAGGTCATTATGAAATTTGCACATATTTTATGACCTGTAATGTACTTCTCTGATCTGATTTCACTTGAGCTAATAAAAAAATACAAATCAGGTGCTTGCTGTGATCAAGATGCTAAAGTTATATTTACACTGCTTCATAAATGTAAGGTGTTAAAGCTTAGTGAGACAAGAAGTAAACTGATAATTGATTAACCAGGGTGCTATACAAATCTACCTAGAGGGTGCCTTCCCAGGTTAATGCAATTATGGGAGAAAGATCCTGGCTCCTGGCTACAGAAATGCCAACTAAAGTGTTATCCACCCCATCCTTCACTTTGGAGGATGCGTTAAGATGACACTGTGCTGTGTCAAAATGAAAATACAAACAAAAGCAAATAAACCGAGTGATAATAAATAAACCGAGTGACTCAGTTTCCTTATCCATTTTCCAGTTACCTTTTTTTTTTTAGGCCAGTCTGCATGTCCACTAGAAGAAAAGGGACCTGGGTTCTTCATCAGCCCATCCTTAGATCTTAGTGCACATATGCACCTAGTAAGTGCCGAGCAAATATTCAATGAATGACTGTACCTTTCCTAAGAATTCTTCGTTGATTATCCTTCAACAGAGCTAACTTCTCTCCCTATGTGCTCAGTCAAATGCTCTCCCATTGGACTGAGTTCAGCATAAACTGCCATGTTTTGAGATGATTGGTGTAAGCGAATGTCCTCTCCTGAGTTGCGAGAATCTAAGAGCAGGACAACATCACATGCTTCTCTACTTTCTATAGTTCTTTTGTCCACTGTCTAACAAATAATGCCAAGTGAAAAAGGGAAAAATGAATGAATAAATTTTGTAAGATGCCAATGGAAAAAAACAGAAAATCAAGAGTTACTAAAAAAAACCACTAACTCCATTTAATTGTTTTAGACTAAGAATCCCTCAGTGATACCTAGCCAAAATTAGGATTCAGATCCAAAATAAAAGATACTGTTGCCCCAAGTAGATATCATAATTTGTTACAATAAGTAAAAATGTATATTATTCAATACTAAACTGTTATACCACATTTCAAGTTTTTAAAACTTTATCTTCCTTTTATGCATAGATAGTAGTAGAGCATTAAGAACATGCATGGCTATCACCTGAGGTGTTGATTGTAAATTCACATTCCTAGGCTTTGTCTCTTAACTACTGAATCGGAATCTTTGGGAGTGAACTGACAGGAATCTGAATTTTAAAAATAAGGTCTTCAGGTGATTCTCATGCATCTAAAGATAACTGCTTTAATATATAACAAAGAAACCCAAAGAGGGACACTTGAGGATTTTTTCAATATATCTTCTTTTGCAGAGATTAATAGTGAATGTTGTTTTATCTGCTGTTTAGAATTTTACATATGCATTGGATGATACATCTTCTTTTACTGACAAAAAGGCTTTTCTCTGGAGAAAATAAAAAGGCAGCTTTCCCTGAGAGCACACACTTCTAGCAAAGCCCCAATCCATATGACTCTAAGACAGAGTGATTTCCACCTTCTAGTCCTTACTTTCTTGCAAAAGGGGCTTTCAAATCTCATTACTGATGGTCCCATCTTTTATTACTGGTGTTATCAATGGGATGCTTGCAGCAGCTTAAGTATGTGGATAAAGAAGGAATGCACAATATACGGTACTGAATATTTTTAAAAAGTGGTCTTTCAGAATGTCTGTATGTGTGGGGGCCCATGCTTAGGCATATGTGCATGCCAGTGTGTTATTTATGTTGAAACCAATGTTTTACATTAATGGCTGGAATTCCAGAAAAATAAGAAAATATTTGTATTTTCTAAACCATTAAAAGTTTAGTGGAACTCATTAATAGTCTGTATCATCTCTCTGTATATTTCAGAAGTACATTTTAAGTGTAACAGCTAGGGGTAAACTTTCATAACTGTATGATTTGAACACAAGTACAAGAAATATTCAAGGTTTTCTTTTCTTTTTTTTTTTTAGATGAAGTCTCACTCTTATCGCCGTAGCTATAGTGCAATGGCGCTGTCTCAGCTCACTGCAACCTCCGCCTCCTAGGTTAAAGCAATTCTCCTGCCTCAGCCTCCGTAGTAGCTGGGATTACAGGATCCTGCCACCACACCCACTAATTTTTGTATTTTTGGTAGAGAATGGGTTTCACCATGTTGGACAGGCTGGTCATGAACTCCTGACCTCAGTCGATCCACCCGCCTTGGCCTCCCAAAGTGCTGGATTACAGGTGTCCACCGCGCCTGGCCAATATTCAAGTTTACACAGGAAAAAGAATACTTTCTCTGCATAACCTTTACTTATTTACTCATAAGCCTCTAGTTCTCTCTGGATTTGACTGTAAATCTCAACACATTTCCCAGAAACTAACATCTTCTGGCTGACTTCTATTAAAAATTCAGACAAAGAAAAAAACTGAATACAATGGAGAGAGATTATAATACTGCTATTCTCCCATTCTCTCTCTCTACAGCATATCACCTCCTCCAAAATCAGTTCATATCTAACTCCTAGCACATTTTTAGTTAAAAATATACATGCACAAAATATATGTGTAAATACACATGCTGATATCACACATATGTGTGTGTGTGTGTGTATATATATATACACAAAAGCAGATATATATATATATATATATATACACAAAAGCAGATATATATATATGCTTTCTTGCAGGTGATAGAATGCTTTTTTGGAGGTGGTTTTGTGGGCCTATGTAATGTCTCTATTGTTATATTTTAAAAGTTTCTTTTTTGTTTGTTTGTTTGTTTGAGATGGAGTCTCCCTCTGTAGCCCAGGCTGGAGTGCAGTGGCAGGATCTCGGCTCACTGCAACCTCTGCCTCCCGGGTTCAAGTGACTCTCGTGCCTCAGCCTCCAGAGTAGCCAGGATTACAGGCGCATGCCACCACATCCCACTTTTTTTTTTTTTTGTATTTTTAGTAGAGACAAGGTTTCACCATGTTGGCCAGGGTGGTCTCAAACTACTGATCTCAAGTAATTGGCCAGCCTTGGCGTCCCAAAGTGCAAGACTGCAGGCTTGAGCCACCACGCTCCACCAAAAGTTTCTTAGCACTCATTCTCATGAGAAAAATTGCTGAAAACTTGGCAATAAAGAAACAGAATGACTACATGTCCTTTAAATGTTATTTTTAAGGGGCTCAATCAATGACTATGAAGTTATCTAAGATAAAACACCAGATTTTGACATTGCCATTAACTTTTTTATTAGAGCCCCCAGATCTACAGGTTATATGTGCAGATGTGCAGTGGCTGCTTTATTTCCCTTTTCAAGAGCTTTTCTTATACAGCATCTATCCACTCTCCTATAGAGATGAAGTTAACTCCCTTGACAACTATCACTTGTCCCCAATCCCCACCCTTCCACTTGACATACAAACCCAAAGAGATTCATGCTCATTTATGCTCAGTAGAAAACATAATTCCATAGGTTACTGCTATTATTAATCAAATATTTACTAGATTTATATCTATTAGTCAATTCTCTTTAGAATTTCTTTGACTGTTTCTATAAATCTTTATTCCTCAGATATTCCTTTAAACCAGTCTTACCAGCTTATTGGCTCCACTACTAATTAATTAGTTGAATAAAATCTTTGAAATGTGTTTATGTTTGTATAAAAACCATCTTCTTTACTTTTCAAAAACTATACTTGAGCACACTGTGAAAAGATAAATTGCTAGGTTCAACTGAGGAACTGAATAATTTTTTCCTCTTTTAGTTTTAACATTCTACACAATCTAAATTATTTTAAAACTCAGAAAATGCTTTAAGCTCATATTTATAGACTTCCCAAGTAGTACAATCTGTTAACTGAGGTAGGTAAGTAAACGTCCTTGAAAACTTCCATAAATGATGGTGAATAAATTAAAAAGGTGGAAACAATTTTCCAGGTCTCTGAGCCATATTCAATATAATGAATCCTGAATAGGAGTTCAATGAAAAGATTAGGTAGATTTTTTTTAAAAAAAACCCATATCCCATGGGATCCTGCTGTAAGGTACTTTTATAAATTATACTGATTATACTGTCTCATTTCTCTGTCTATTTGCCATGTGTTATATACTTTGGTGATCTTTGAGAAAGCATTTAACCTATTACAGGCATTTTTTTCCCCTAAAGTACAAGTAGGTAGGTCAAAAGAACAGCAAGGACAATGTCTATCCACCCAATCTGGTGGCCTCCGAAGGACAAAAGCCAGAGTTAATCTAAAGCAATCAAGGAGTCTGACCACCATGGAAGCCCTGAGGAAGTGGCTGCTGTATTTCCCTTTTCAAGAGCTTTTCGTATACAGCGTCTATCCACTCTCCTATAGAGATGAAGTTAACTCCCTAGACAACTATCACCTGTCCCCAATCCCCACCCCTCCACTTGACATACAAACCCAAAGAGATTAATTAACATTTGTTCCAGGAAGAGACACAGACAAAAACATCCGATATTGGAATATTCCTTCGTGAATAAATATAAAACTTATGGAGAGGGAGGAAGATATTTTGAAAGGAAAAAAATCATTGGACTTTATTGCTCAAAGCCAAAAGAAATTGTTTTTTGTGGCAAAAGTAAAACAAGGTAATTTTGTACTGTGTGCTGTATTTCTGGCAATTATCTGTTATCTTAAGAGGCTTATATAGAAAGAACAATTGTACCTACTTTCACAGCATGCTCTGAGGATCTAAGGACCCTCAACAAATAGTTTTCATGCTACAAGCAGGCACTTATTTAGGCACAAATAGGATGGGATTCTTTTTTTAACTGTAGTATAAATAATTTTATATAATACAGTTATATAGGCTTTTTTAAACAAAATACAGTCAGATTTTAAATCTCTCTATTCTAAGATAGACACTTCACAATTTAAATTCAAGACTCCTTGTTTCTTGAAGACATCTATGAAAGCAAATGTTTTTGAGAACTTGGCTGAATCTGAGTCCATTCCGATTAGCAGATTCCACATTCACTTTTGAGCCATGACTTAGAAGCTATCAAGACATTATGTAGCAACCTTTTTCTCAGTATTCCAGGAAAATAAAAATGTGCATGCATTAACTCAATAGGTATTCAGATGTTTCCCATTAGTAAGTTGTGACCATGCAATAAAAACCATGCTCACCAATATTCCCCAATAAACTTCAAGATTTGTAAGCTCATGCATACCCACATTTATGTTAAAATTTGAAATAATGAAATATTTTTGCATTGTGAAAAATAGATATATATGCATTTTGTGACCAAAACCATCACCACAGTTCCATTGCTGTTGTTGTTCTTCTTCTTATTATTATTATTATTATTTTTGGTTTGTTTGTATCTGGCACATTTGGGGTTATAAATCACAAATAACATAAATAAGATAATGTTAATCTCCTTCTTACAAAATCCAATGGCTTCCCACAAGTCTATATATAATATGCAAATTTCTTACTATAGCTTATAAGATCTGGAATAATTTTTCCTATCTCCAGCCTTCACCTCTTCTCACATTCATCATATTCTAGCTAATCAGGACTCTTTTATGTCATAAAATATGCTAGATTTGCACACCCTTAAAGCCTTCATATACGAGTTTGTTCTGCCTTGGATACCTCTGTTCCACATTCCCGAACATTCTCTCTCTCATCACACAGCTGGACCCTTTCACCCTCCTGATCTCAATTGAAATGTGACCTTCCTGTATAAACTTTCCATGAGCTGGCTTGTCTGACTGAACCCAAATGGCTAATGGATTTTCTTTCCCGTTACATGCTCTCTAATTTATGATGCTTTGCTTGGGGGGAAAATGAGAGGTGGGAGTCTGTTTACGGAACATGGAAGTCCTTTTGCAGAGGTACAAGAGTGGAAATGGCTGTTCCCCAGCCTGGCTCTCTGAGTCAGACCTGACATCCACAGAGAGAGCACTGCAGTAACTGCAAACGCTTCTGTTTTGATTGTGGTAATTGGAACAATCAGGGCACAAACTGCAAGGTCACTGGCAAGGGTAGCAGCAGGCATGATTCCTCCCTTAGTAATTTTAAAGCAGCAGATTTCAAAAGGGAAAACCAAGCAGATGAAAGTGAGCAGATTTGTTCTTCAGCACATGTGAGATACCCTTGGAGATGCCAATAAATCACTGGAGAGACTGTGAAGGAGGCTTAGGCCCTGCAGATGAAGTTAGTGATGGAGGGAAATCGTGTTTATCCTCGGGCTGTCAGGTCTGAAATACCTGGGTTAAGTAAATGGCCTCTGGGATGGTCACAGTCGGCAATTATTAGCAGTTACAGATCCATCTCTATGCCAAAACAGATAACAGCATCCAGGAATTATCCAAAGTCACAAATCAGTGTCAGTGTCTTGTCACTCACCCACGTAGTGCTTTTCCCTTCCTCCTAGTTACTTAATGGATAAGGGCACATTGTCAAATAAACAAACAAGTGAGGATAAATGTTGCTCCGAAATTTAAGGTGAATCATTAGTCAGACTTGGTATCGTCATGGAATTTGGTCTGTTTTCTAACTAGCTTTATTTTAGCACAGCCATAAATCTGGCTGTAATTGTCTTTAACTCCGATGACTCATACATCTAAGCATTTCATTTAACTTTCAACCGTGAAAAATTCCAACTGATTTGGCAATATGAATGTGCTCTTACATGCATATGATCATATGATGCTGTCAGTACAACATCTGTTTTTGTTCTTGGGATGTTGATGGACTATCATGAACCATCTTATAACTTTCCCAGTCCCCTTTAAGTCCAAGAGGATACAACTGAGAAGGCAGGTAGAGTTTTTGGTCAGTGGCTAGGTTTTTCCTGAATATCAAACAAATTGCCTGGTATGAGAATTTAACAGAATATGACCACAATTTTTTTAACAGATTTATCTACTTGAAACATCGCCTCAGTCAATGAAGAAACTTATGTTCTATAACTAATAATAAAAGATCATTTGTAACTGAAATATGACAAATTGCTGTTTTAATCATGAGGATTACCATTTAGAACAGCTAGGTAAACATTTACTTTTTAATCCGGAAATAAGTTAAAGCAAATAATAAAAATTTATATTTAAATCACACAACATGTTTTATCATGAATAATAAATGTTTTTAAAGTTTAAAAATGTACTTGTTACCTTGTGGGTATTCCTGAACATGATTAGGATTTTTATTTCTCCAAGTATTTTTATTCACTCACAGAATCAAAATGTCAAGGCTATATAAGTTTTCATCAAGTGCTAATTTAGCATCTAAGTTTTTATTAATTAATTTGTAAAGGAAATAATAATGAGAGTCAAAGGAAGAAGCATCTCCTGTGGTGAGCTCCATTTCCAGATTCCAACGAAACCATTAAAATATTTATGGCACTGAGGCTGAATCAGACGGGTCTTGTGTACTCTCTTGTGTGGCCATATTGTGTAGCAACAGTGGGTTTCGAATAATAAGATTCAGTCATCCATTTAGACTCCAATTGGAGCTCAGGCAACTTCAATTTGTGATTATAATGATTAACTTCAAAAAGATGCACTATTTGTAGACCTATGTTGAAACTTATGCAGTGGAACTAAAAAGCCACCTATTTTTATAATAAAAAGGCACAAATACGCAAATGCAAAAGAAATTCATTGGAAAATCTTGAACGTTTCAAATATAATTATCACAAATGCAAATATAAAATAACAATATGTTTGTTAATATTATACTTTCATTTAATCAGTTCTTCTAAGTAAGGCAAATATATGAATTTTTTAATATACAAAAATACCCCCCCAAAACTCCATTAAGTATATCTATATGACCATTGGGTAAGATTTTTTATGATTATTAGTATGGGAAAATTGTGACTGTTTAGATATATTAAATATATTAAGTAATATATTTAATGATTTAAGATTGTTAAATAATTTATATTAAAATTGAAACCTCATTTTGCCAGTATTAAAAATTTCAAAATTTAAATACATATGACACCAATGCATACAATGTTACTTTGTCCTGAACATAAGTTTTAAAAGAATTTAAGTTTAAATATTCTCCTAAATGCTTTGTGAGACTTAAGATAAAAAACAGTTCCTCAGAACTCCTGACAAAGGGGGGCAGTAAAGAAGCAAAAAGATTTTTATGGAGTTCAGGGAAAGCTGAAAGGCCTTTGTGTACATTCCCTATTTTCTAAACAGTAAATGATGGATTGCATTTTAGGCAGACTACAAAATTGCTAAAATTAAATGTTGGGATGGAAATGTGGAATGCAGAGTTTGCAACCCCCTTTTAATTTAATATTTTCAAAGAATTAAGAGAAATTATTATATTTTATTTTATAAAATATTATATTTAAAATTACTCAATTCTAAATGAATGTTATTGCAAACCTAGGCTTATAAGAAGAATGCATTTAGAAGCCCTAGATAACATACAATATAAAAATAATATTTGCAAATTATGCATTTGTTTTCTTTTCTTTCTTTTTTTTTTTTTTTTTGAGATGGAGTTTCGCTCATGTTGCCTAGGCTAGAATACAGTGGCACAATCTCGGCTCACTGCAACCACCGCCTCCTGGGTTCAAACGATTCTTCTGCCTCAGCCTCCCCAGTAGTTGGGATTACAGGTATGTGCCACCATGCCCGGCTAATTTTGTATTTTTAGTAGAGATGGAGTTTCTCCATGTTGGTCAAGCTGGTCTTGAACTCCCGACCTCAGGTGATCCACCCGCCTTGGCCTCCCAAAGTGCTGGGATTACAGGCCTGAGCCACCGCGCCTGGCCTGTTTTCATTTTAAGTGTAGTTGTCTAGCATTTTCAATACATTCCCCCCCGTTTGACAAATTTTATCTTGCCATTTAGCTAATGGGCAAGCAAAAAATTAAGTGGAATAATTGGACAGAACAATTATCTGGTAACCTAAACAATGGTAACATGAGATAGGTATTTTATGCATTGTTTGGACTTATAAACTATCTAGTGTTCTAATAATAGACATAATGGTTTATTCAACTAATAGCTACTGTCATCCTTAGAGGTTATTAACAACTCAAAGTAGTGAATTACATCCAACTAAAGGGTGCTTTTGTATAGACATTTGTTCTTATTGCTGGTCACTTATTCTTCAAATATCTTTTAGGCACCATTTACAAAGATGACCAGAGGTACAAAATCTGCATATATAATAGAAAGAGCCAGGTAGTCATTCAATAAAAGAAGGTATATAGTACCAGGAAAAGATTTTTATCTTAGCCTAAGGCAGTCTGAATTCTCAAGCCCAAAGCACATAAATTTGTTGGAATTATTTCAATTTCTAGTCACTAAAAATGTGACGCACATTTACACCAGTGGTTCGGTTGATTACTTCTCTTCAGCCCTAGTCTCTTAAGCACAGGTATACACACTTACAGCAATATCTCTGCATACAATATTTTTGACAGAATGAAAAAGTTAAAAATATTGATGTTTATTTCAGCGATTCTGAAATGGTTTATAAAAATTCTATGACTATAAGAAATTCATGAGGAATGCAATATATCAGGAAAGAACAATGTCATCTTTACATAAAAAGGATGCGTGTCAGTAATTTGAGAGGCTGGAATCTAGTGACAAATGTGTCACTTTTTAAGGTGTGCTTGATTCACAGCTGACAGCTTTGATTTGAAATTGCCTTTAAAACAATGTCTATGTATCAGTGCAATGAATTCTAACCAAAAGCTTGTTGGAGCTAACCACAGTACCTATATATTCAAGATGTTCATGGGAGGAATGGAAGATTTGATATTTAGGCACTGAAGGGTTGCTATGATAGTTATTATACACAATTGAGTTTAAAATGAATATATGTGTCAGTTCTATTATTAAATGTTATAAAATATGAGGGAATAATAAATGCTATGTAATTTATAAACTACAAGAAAATTTATATCAGGAAACTGCTTATTTCCTAATATATGCACTGTCTTCAGTGTCTCCAAAACTGTCAACTCTGCCAATGTGACTAGCAGATGATGAGCAGGCAGTCCGTGTGATATTATCAATTACATAGTCAGAAATCTGAGTCTTTCTTTCACCTTATGAGCTGTTTAGGAAGAAGGTGTATATGTGTGTAACAGGGAGCAAGAGGAGATTAACTTGTAAGCCATTATCTGATGCAAAGGCAGACATTTACTAAGTCATCTGTGAAGAGATGGTTCGATAATAGCTAAGCATTCATATAAATCTTCAGGGACTCGAATTCTCTCAAGTGTGACAGAATACTCCTCTCAACTGCCAGCGCTCCTGTTGTAAAAAATCACATTTGGCAAAGGGCTCTGGTGTTTTGAGTTCTGCTCAGTGACAGGTTTGTTTTAAGTAAGATTAATACTGAGGACAATAAAATGACCTTCAATTAAGACTCCTTTTAAATTTTGTCTACCTGATTTCCACTATGGTTCGTGTCTAGCTGTACTCTATCTAAGAATGATCTTTAAAACATTCAGGATTATGAGAGAGATATCTAGGAAGTCATAGGAAATAACCACTATTCAATGCTGTTCTGTACACCATTAGTAAACCATAAGAGAGGACAAACATTTATCCAAGAAAGAGACTATTACATAGCCACCAGGACCCAATATGGATTCAGCACAATTGAGCAATACATGTAACAGATTTGTGGTGAAAAACAGGTGCTGCTCAATTGCTTAGTCTAAAATTCTCCCTCAATTCCTTCCCATCACCTAATTTGTTTGACATCTAGTCTTTTTACATTATAATATAGTATATTAAAAAGTTCTTATTATGGTTTTTTTTTTTGAGATGGGGTCTCGCTCTGTCGTTCAGGCTGGAGAGTAGGCTCAGTGCAAACTCTGCCTCCTGGGTTCATGCCATTCTCCTGCCTCAGCCTCCCGAGTAGCTGGGACTACAGGATCCCGCCACCACGTCTGGGCCAATTTTTTGTATTTTTAGTAAAGACTGGGTTTCATGGTGTTAGCTAGGATGGTCTCGATCTCCTGACCTCATGATTTGCCCACCTTGGCCTCCCAAAATGCTGAGATTACAGGTGTGAGCCACCGCGCCTGGCCCTTATTATAGAATTTTTGGGCATACATTGCACATTTTTCTAATTGTGCTTCAATAATACCAAACAAGTGGGCAAATGCTTCACTGGGCTACATTTGCATCCCTGAGTACAATTTCACATTGGTTTTGGTTTTGTGAATTTTGGAGGAATTTATTTTGAGAGATGCCCCTGGAAATAAATAATGCTGATGTTTTGGTGTAATTTTATTTATTGCATTAATGGAATATGTAAATACAATCTATCAGCATTAGGCAGAAAATATTTAAGAGATATCAAATTCTTTTGCCGAGAAAGGTAGTAGTTTGCCAGGAACTACAAGCTTTCTAACTGAACTTTTAAAAATAAATTTTAATTTTTAATTTTGATAGATCATCATAGTTGCACATATTTAAGGGCTATCTGTGATATTTTCATACAATACTGCCATGTTTACTGCCACTATTCACAATAGCCACGATATGGAATCAACCTTTGTTCATCAACAGAAGAGGAGACAAACCTGACTTTGGTCTGTGCTGGCTGCAGGTTCTGGAGAGCTGTTTGAAGTGACAAGATGGCAAATGAAAGGGTCAGTTGGTTGCCTGGTGGATTATTCGTCCTCATAACACTTTACCTAGAAATTTTGCCTTTTCTCACAAAACCATAATAATGGACAAACAGCATGAACCTAGATATGCACCCCCAGTCACTATCGTAAGGTCAAGTTGGTATGAGTCACATAAGTAGAGGACTAGAAGTTTTATCTGAATAGTATTGTCATAGTGGCTAGGAATGAGAGTGAAAAGTAGACTAGATGTGTGCTTTGATATGGCTTGGAGCAAAAGGTCAGGTATTGGGGCACTTCTGAAATGATATCTATTATTTAGGAACTGGGTCAGGAAAATCTATAATTACATTCCTACTGTATTTACATACCATTCATTCCTAAGAGAGCTCTTCCAAAAAAAAAAAAAAAGAGATGTCAGTGCATAAAAAATAAACTCCATTTCTTTCTCAAGCCCAAAGTACATAAATCTTGAAATTTTCCAGCTAAAAAATAGGCATATGTTCTAGCATCAGCTTTAATTTATCCCACATTCATTCTCTGCTACAATAAAGTGACAAAGCCATTCATATTTTATGTTACATCTAATTATCTGTTTTTCAGTTAGATAAATATGCTTTATATCCTAGGTACCATCAGAATTTCAAAGCTCAGAAAATCACTAATGAGAATGGAAGGAATTAACCATCATGCAAGCAGAAGCATGCGGCTACCATGCTACATTGCTCAGAGTTCATGTAGCAGTTTAATCAGGGTAGCAGCTGTGCAATGAGCTTTGTTGGAACTGGAGTCTCGCATCCTAAATGTGAAATATCTACTGTTTGAAAGGGTGATAACTTTATGCCTTGCAAAGAAAACAGTCCTCAAGTGTTATTTTTTAATGAATTAACCCTTTATCTTTCCTCACACCTTTTCTCTTCTTTTTTTTTTTTTTTTTGCCCTCAGAAGTATTTAAAGGATAATCCCATATGATAACTCACACTGCCTAGCTTCAGTACAATGTCTCATACATTGCAGGCACTCACAAACATTTGTTTAATGAATGAATAAGTGAAAGTCCAATGGAAAATTACACTGTTGAATTTACAATGGTTTTAGAGGTACATCTCTAAATTTGTTGATTTATTTAGGATTGTACATTGTCACATTTTCACTGCTAAATTTCATATTATTCATTAAAGAAAGGCAGTGTTGGAGAGTTTTATAGTTGACAGATGAATTATCTATAACTTCTAATATACTCAGACATCATGTTTTTCTAGCATGTAACTTTTAAAATATAAACTCTCCAACATTTAAAGTTTTAACACTTTTTAGTAATTTTTTAAGAAATGACAGATCAATAGTAGCTTTCCATAAATAAAAGCCTATTAATTTGTATAACATAACAAAATTCAGTGCAACATAAATTCATATAGTACTCCTACAAGAAATCTATAGGAGTAAAATTATGATTATAAAAATCAACAGACTTAAACAAACAAATAACAGCTTTCAATTAAGTTTATAGATACCAAAGACATTCAACCTTTAACATCCCACTGTGTAAAATCAAATGGGAAAGGATAAAAGGACCAAAGCTATGGTTAGTAATATAATTGATTGCTGCCCTACCTACAAACTAATTTGTTTTAATATCTGTGCTAGAACCAGTATGTTACCCCTTTTAACTTTAGCTAAATAATGTTTATACAAACCTTACTATGCAGAGCTATCTTTAACAAGAGCATCCCATTGAGGAAAAAAGAAAATAGAAAGATATGAAAATTTTCACTTTTTTCTAATACCAACAGATATCACTTTATTGATATTGCATTTCTGTATATAATGACATAGAATATGAGCATTCCCTGTAGTTCAGTTTTACTGACAGTAACATTGCACAAATCATTTTAGGGCTATGTGCTATGCAGAGACATTGTACAGTTAATTGGCATCATTAAGTAACATTTTGAAATGATGAGGTGTTCAAATGTAGTAGTTAAAGGCTTGATTGGACATTGCTAAATTGGGTACTAGATCTCTAAAGAGATGGAATTTACCCCCTAGTAGGCTTTATCCTTTTTCACTTGTCTCAGATTTGGAACTCATTTCTTTTAGGTTGAAAATTTTATGTTCATGTTGGAAACTTAAATTTTAACAATTAAAAGATTACTTGAAATGCAATGCTACCCACGGCTGCCTGTCATTTTGGGAGTTTCTTATAGATTCTTTTTAGGGATAAGAATTATGTTAAAACCAGATGCTAGAATTGCTTTAATTTTTATTCCCCAGTTTCTCATTTCCATTTTGACAAAGAGGCCCAAAACATGAATAGCCTTTTGATCTGTTTTTTTCTCCCATATCAGTTCCCATGAGACCAGTGACTTCATTCTTTCTGTTATTGCAGGTTTACATTTTGCAGTCATCTTTTATTCTTGTATCACTATCTTCAATCATTGTGGCCAATTCTTTCCAGGTCATTCTCAAACCTCCATATCAAAGCTATAGATCAATAACTATCAGAACAAGTTAAACATTAAGATAAAGTTAATCATCTTTTCTTTATAATAATAACCACCACTGAATTGCAATTGTTATGAGGTATTATGCTAAACACTTTATCAAATCTTATGAAATAGGGGTAATTTTTATTCTCATCTCACATGAGAACTTGAGGCACATAAAAATTAAGGCATTTTGCCCCAGGTCTCATGGCTGGCAAGTGGTCTGTCTGACAGTAGAGAGCCAGCTTCAAGCACTGTACTATAGGGCCACTGTGTCATGACTATAAACCTTTCATGGCATGGTCTATACATTTGGGCTCTTCAGCTTCAAATTTATCTATCATGCAGGCATGACACTAGGTTTTCACTTGCACTGGAAGTCAACTGCTGGAAAATTAGTCTGTAGAAAACCGTAGGCCACAGAGTTCCTGAATGTGTTAGTAAGAGGCTTAGATTTTATTTTGGATGGGCTGGGAAATAATTGAAGGGTTGTAACAGGGAATGTGCAGAATTGCATTGTGGAGAGATCTAATTGGAGATTGGGGGAAAGATGAGCAGGCCCTAAACTGTGATAATGTTGGCAAGCTTGAAGGGAGGGACAGAATCAGAAAATATTTGTAAGTGACATTTCTAGGCCCCTGTGATTTACTGGCTGGAGGATGAGCAGGTGAGAGGTGTTTGTTTTGAAAAAAGTGATTTTGAAGAGAGGTCAGAAAAAGATTTTCATTTTTTTACTTCATGTGTTCATGAGTTGGGGAGTCAGGGTACAGAAGGAAAGACACATGAAGCCAGGGACTGACACAGAGACCAGACACACAGTGGGTGCTTCATGGATAGCTGTTGAATGATTTGTGAAAATCAGATAGCAGTGGTGAGGGTTTTTATGCAAGTGAAATACAAATGAACTTCTCAAGGTGCCATATCTGAGTTGTGGCTTTGATCTGGTTCCTGACTTTGAATTATTTTGTTCCTATGAAGTACAGGACTTTGTAATAAAAATCCACCATACACAAAATCCCCTGGACTTAAGAATATCTCCACAAGTTATAAGAATTGAAACTGCTTAGAAGGAACAATTGCTTGTACTCAGCCAGTCATCCTCAGCTGCATGAGTCTCAAAACGGGGGTGGAGAGTGTCTACCTCCTCCAGAAAAGGTTTTTAGAGCGAAATCAAAGAGACTGCCTCTTCTCCACCAAAATTATTTGTCTTAAGATGGGGACAAGAAACCTGGCACCCAGGAGTAAGGACACAGACGTGCTCTCTCATTTTAAGCTGAAGCTGAACTGTCTTGTCCTAAAAACATATGCCCAGACTCTAGAAAAGCTCTCTTAGACAGACTGCTAATTTCTCCATTTCTGTCACTTAAGAGGATTTTAGGGACATATAACTTTGAGAATTCCATTCTGCAGCTTTCAGAGGTAATACAATCCAATACTCATAGTGGGCTTATGGTGTACCCGGCACTTTTCCAAACATTCTACTTGTTATAGCTTCTTTAATTGAGGTACGTATTCTTATCATTCTCCATTTGGGAGATTTGAGAGAGAGGCAAAGTATGTGCCTTAAGATGACACAGTTGGTAAGTAGGAAAGCAGAACTTTAACATCAGCAGTAAAACCCTGAGACTATTGTTTTAATGTGTTTAATAAATGCCCCACTAAGAAACCAGAGCAAATTAAAAGTATGCTGTGTTCTATTAATTTGATACAGGCAGAAGAAATCTAAAAACAGCAAAGAATGATATTTAAGAAGAACTCTATTTTAAGTAGTTATAGGACATATGCTTAAACTGAGTGAACTTTTTATGAACTTTTCATCAGAGATTTTTTTTTAATTGTTGTTTTTCTCCTGTGTCTGTGACTGAATAAATGGCCTCTGTTCACTGGAATGCTTCACATGCTTCCTCTCTCAGTTGTAGGTGTGTTTATTTCTATTCAGACACCAAAGGCCTATGGGTATCTGCAAATTAACAGTTTCATTTGCTATTATGTTCCATCATTGTGAAGCAGCACAGGAAATTAACATATCTGTAACCACGCCCTTACTATATAATATGAAAGTGTAAATTAAAACATGCCGTGTTCATTAAACTGAGATAAAACCACATTTTGAAAATAAAGTTTAGTAAGTGGATACTTAGTATCACATTGGCGATACTAAGCTTATGACTTGCTTTTAATATTTGGATTGCAAATAAATTTGGAAGCTAATGTATGGAGTACAATAATAGCGAAAAGCATGGGCTTTGATATTAGACATGGCTATGCATCCGAATATCTTATTATTGGATATTCGATTCAAGAACATATCAGAATAGTAATTATGTTGTATTTGATTCAGTGGCTGAGATTGAAGGGCAACTAACCAACAGAGGAGAAGATATTATTGATTGTTCTAAAGATTTATCCTCCAAAGCTTTCCTTTACCCTATCTTGTTACATCTTTTTTAAACAATGCTAATTGTGTCCCTTGTACATATTCTTATTCAACTCCTCAGCAAACATCTTCTATGTGACCAACATTCTGAGAGGTGCTGGAGATGCAGGGAAGAGTAAGATGCTATGCTTGACCTGCAGTATCTTGAAGCTAGTTGGGGCAGCAAACCATTAAGACATTCAGCAGCATAGCTGTTGTCTGCAGAAACAGATGGGGATCCAAGGGTTGGAAATAATACAGAGGAGAGATGGATTCATTTGAAGAGTTCTCTTGTTGCATGCTTAATATAATTAAAGTGCCTAGCCACTAGTAGATGACAGTTTTCTAATTTTACACATCATGTAATCCCCTTAGTCTTGAAGATATTGATGGTGTTAATCACTTGAATGCAGTGACATTAATAATTTCTTAGATAAAAAGTATACTGTTTCCAATCATAAATTCCCTGCCTCCCAGACTCTCTGTGAGCCTCATGTGCATAAGTGGAGGGAAGGACCTGCTGATCTAAGAATACCCCTAGTGTCAAAGAAGTAAATGGTCAAGTAAGGTTGTCCTAAGAAGCCATGTTACCCCTTCTGCTGGTGAGCACAGAGCCCAGGTATAAAATTTTTTTTTTTTTTTTTTGAGACAGAGTCTCGCTCTGTCACCCAGGCTGGAGTGCAGTGGTGCAATCTCGGCTCACCGCAACCTCCACCTCCCGGGTTCAAGCGATTCTCCTGCCTTAGCCTCCCGAGCAGCTGGGACTACAAGCACATGACACCACACCTGGCTAATTTTTTGTATTTTTAGTAGAGATGGGGTTTCACCATGTTAGCCAGGATAGTCTCGATCTCCTGACCTCATGATCTGCCCGCCTCAGCCTCCCAAAGTGCTGGGATTACAGGTGTGAGCCACCACGCCTGGCTGCAGAATCTTTACCTAGGTTACTGTTGTCCATGTGGGTAACAATCTTGACATCTGAAGTGTTCATTGAATAAAAATTTGTATTGAATATTCTTCTAACAAAATCTGAAAAAAGTACAGAGCTATTTTTGAAATGGATGAGAATGTATGGTAATTTAGCTAGTTCATTGTATGTGTCCTGTTTTCAGTTATCATTGCTACTGAATTATTTATCTTTAGGTGTATAAATTATAGTCAAGATGCTTACAATTGATGAAGGAAGAATGATTTTAAAACACAGAGCAAAATGTTATTTTAAATACAGAAGTCTATTCTTCTCCTCCATGAATAACTGGCATTCTGTTTCTATTGTATATTAGGTTGAAATATGTGTTTTTGTCATTACCAGTGTTTCCACAGGATAAGACTGAAGGCACAAGCATTTAATATTTGCTGAAAGCACTTAAACAGAAAAAATATTGGCTAGTGAGATTAAGAATGAAATAAGGTAGACAAATAGCTGGCTGCAAAAGAGACCTTAAAAAGTTTCTCAGAGCCTGGCCAAAATGGCAAAACCCCATCTCTACTAAGAATACAAAAATTAGTGGGGTGTGGTACCATGCACCTGTAATCTCAGCTACTCAAGAGGCTGAGGCAGGAGAATTGCTTGAACCCAGGAGGCAGAGGTAGGTTGCAGTGAGCCAAGATCATGGCACTGTATTCCAGCCTGGGCAATAGAGCAAGACTCTGTCTCAAAAAAAGAAAGTTTATCAGTCTATTAAGAATATACTTGATTTTTACAAGAAGAATCAATTGCTTTACAAAGTTATTTATCTAAAATGTATGAATAAAAATGTATAACTATAAACATATCTATAAAACTAGTAAAGATCAAAAGCTCAGGTATCTTTAACTTTCTCTGCTTCTACTATTCACAAAAATATTTGCTCAGAGACACAGAAACTCATCTTCAAGATTTATTTTTATCTGGGTGGAGTTACAGAGTTGCCTTGGTAACAGCAACTATCACCAAATTAAGTGTTAAGCACACGTTTTTAAACATTTTTAACATTTTAAAAATGCAGATGCCAAAGGAGAGCAATGTCAGGAGAGAATGTTGTAAACTCCCTTTTTCCCACATCTACTTGACATTACAAGGTTTGTACTACTTTCAGAAATTCTCCAGTGTTTAAAAAATGCGTCTATAAACACACATATACACAGAGCACTTCTTATTGAAGTAATCACCTTAAAAATTATGTAATGCAATGAAAACCACAATGGTTTTCCTACCATTGACTAAGAAAGCAAAGGACCTTTCTTCTGAAAGTGAGGAGGACCTCTTGCCTCCTGTCATTTGTGAATAGAACTCTGTAGTCAGAACCAGAGCATTTCTGGCATTTGGTCTAGAATCATTCTGAAGGGCAAGCCTGGTGCTGTGTTGCTAAGCACAAACAATTTGGTATTTGGCTCCAAAAATATGCTCGAGATTAGTTCTTCCCTCAGCAACAGGCGCTCAGCCAAATAATTTTTAACCAACTCTCAGAGCCCAGTATTGCTTGAGCTACTGAGATCCTATTTCAAGTTATTGCTATCAAGATATGGAGGAGAGTGAAATACTGACACTTGTGAGATCCCAAGACTTACACTAAATCCATACAATTTCTGTCCTGAATTAAAAATTTTTTTAAAAAAGAGATGAAAAGTGTGACATTTCCAAACCACGTAATTGGTTTCTTTCACCTTAAACTCCAAGTTAGAGAAGTATTTTGTTGTTGTTTGTTTTGTTTTAAAACTAGACTTGGTGGAATACAGAACATAAACATTTTAAACAAAATATTAAACTTCTAGAACAGTGGATCACTTAAAATGAAAACTTTAAGACTTTCCTTAGACTGAGTTTTTTATTCTTAAAAAAAATTAAAAGGAAGTTGAATTTTATTTCTAAACGGTGCAGGACAAATGAATAAAATACATTTTGCCTCTGTCTTAAACTTAGAACAGATACGCAATCTCTTTAACAGTATGTAAAAATTCAGTCTTTTCTTTCTTTGGTTTCCAAATTACAGTGAAATGAAACATTTTCCTTTTATGTGTAATTAGTGCAGTTTAACTAAGAGTTATGGAGCATCTTTCCACCTCATGGTGTATCCATGTAGCTGAATTTCTTCAGCATTTGCTTTTTTAATTTGTATAAGGAGTAACTGTTCCATATCTTAGAAATCTTTGAAATTAGAAGTTGATCTAATAGCATCTCTAATGTAGTCTCTCCTTGAATTTTAAATATAATAGATATGACCTGTTATTTAAAAGATATAGTGTTTACTGGCATATAACAGTTGTGTTGAGAATTTTTCATTGAATAAAATATATTTCCCTTGAAATTTTTGTTTTATGGTCATATCTCATAATCCACCTCTGAATCAATGAACACTTGTATTGGTGGAGAAAACAAAGATCCTTCAGACAGACTTTCTGTGTGGTATGTTCTTTCTGTTTCTTTTCTAATAACATTAACTTACATTTAAAATTATTATAATTCACTCTATTTTCACAAATCATCAAATCATACTCAGATATTTAAAAATAAATTTTATTGTATATATTTACAGTAAACAACATGCTGTTATAAGATGAATGTATATGGTGAAAAGGTTATTATAGTGACAAAAATTAACACATCCATTGTCTATCTCACGTAGTTACCCACTTTTTCCCCTGTGGCAAGAGCAGCTATAATCTACTCAATTAGCAAAAATCCTGAATACAATACACTATTACTAACTATAGTTGTCATCCTGCATGTCAGCTTTTTAGTTCCTCCTACATATCTGCTACTTTGTATCCTTAGATCTACATCTCCCAATCTCCTCCCTGCCACCTCACTCATGGTAACCAGTGTGTGGACTGTGTTTTTTGTTTTTTTATTTTGAGACAGAGTTTTGCTCTTTTGCCCAGGCTGGAGTGAAGTGGCGCCATCTCGGCTCACTGCAACCTATGCCTCCTGAGTTCAAGTGATTCTCCTTTCTCAACTGCCTGAGTAGCTGGGATTACAGGCACCTGCCACTATGCCCGGCTAATTTTTGTACTTTTAGTAGAAACAGGATTTCACCATGTTGGTCAGGCTGGTCTTGAACTCCTGACCTCAGGTGATTCACCCACCTCGGCTTCCCAAAGGGCTAGGATTACAGGCGTGAGCTACCACATCCGGCCGGTAACCACTGTTTTATTCTAACTTTATATTTGAACTTTTTCTTTTTAGATTCCACATATAAGTGAGATTATGCAATTTTGTGTGTGGATGTGTGTTGGACTTATTTCCCACAGCTTAATATCCTCCAGGTCCATGCATGTTGTGGCAAATGACAGGGTCTTCTCCTTTTTTAAGGCTGAATAATATTCCATTGTATATACATATACCACAGTTTCTTTTATCCATTCATGCACCAACACATACCTAGGTGGTTTCCATATCTTGGCTACTGTAAATAATGCTGCAATGAATATAGCAGTGCAGATATCTTTATGAGGTGATGATTTTATTTCCTTTGGGTACATCCAGAGGAGGGATTGCTGGGTCTTAGGTAATTCTAATTTTAATTTCTTTAGGAACCTCCGTACTATTGTCCATAATGACTGCACCAATCTATATTTCCACCAACAATGTACAAGGGTTCCCTTTTCTCTACACACTTATCAACACTTAAACTGAACATGTAGACTTTTTCTTTTCATTATTCTCTAAACAATATAGTATAAAAACTATTTACATAGAATTTACATTGTATTGGGCATTATCAGTAATCTAGAGATTATTTAAAGCAGCAGTCCCCAACCTTTCTGGCACCAGGGACTGGTTTTCTGGAAGAAATGTTTCCACGGACAGGGATGGTGAGGGGAAGGGGAATGGTTTTGGGATGATTCAAGCACATTACATTTATCATTAGATTCTCATAAGGAGCGCACAACCTAGATCCCTCACATGTGCAGTTCACAATAGGGTTCGTGCTCCTATGGCAATCTAATGCCACCACTGAGCTGACAGGAGGAGGAGCTCAGCTCTTGCTGTGCAGCCTGGTATCGAACAGCCTAACAGGCTATGGACCAGTACTGGTCATGGCCCTGGGGTTGGGGACCCCTGATTGAAAGTATATGAGAGGATGTGCATAGGTTATATACAAATACTAAGCCATTTTATAACAGGGGCTTAGGCATCTGCAGATTTTAGTACCCAAGGGAGGTCCTGAAACCAATCCCCTATGGCTACTGAAGGACAACTGTGTATCATTCTTAACAGAAAAAAACAAAATCTGTTTTGTAAATAAAATTTTTTCATTATTATTTCCATTTCACTCTGGAATTTAGTTAGAAATTAAGATTAACAAAATATTAATTGACTACTAAAATGTACCAGCACTAGCAGCACATACCAAAAACTAATACAAATATTCCAATAATATTAAATAATGACTGCATTTGTATTTCATCTGAGAGTGGTTTATGGTTCTTCCCCATAAGTGGCTGATTTATTGATGGCCACTTTTTCTTAACTCCTGGTCTTTCTCACAATCACAGAAAACAGTCCCTTATCACACAAATAAAAAAGTCATCTCACCATTCCTCTGTACCTTTTATCTTAACAGACTTGTGTTTTGAAATATTATTTATACTATTTTTTAATTTTTTGAGACCGGGTCTTTCTCTGTCACCCAGTCTGGAGTGCAGTGCGCGATCTTGGCTCACTGCAGCCCCAGCTTCCGGGTTCAAGCAATTCTCCTGCTTCAGTTTCTTGAGTAGCTGGGATTACCAGCGCCCATCACCACACCCAGCTAATTTCTGTATTTTTAGTAGAGATGGGTTTCACCATGTTGGCTAGGCTTGTCTCTATCCCCTGTCCTCAAGTGATCCCTGCAACTTGACCTCCAAAAGTGCTGGGATTATAGGCATGAGCCACCATGCCTGGCCTTATTTATATTATATTAACTCTAATAATCACTATGCCACTTTCTGTTGTAATTCTTTAGGCACTTCTTCTTTGTATGTTTTTAATTAGCATGTAGTTATATAGTTATATATTTACGTTTAGATATACCTCCAAGTAGCCAATATTCTACATGAAGTGATAAAGGATTTATTTATCCCTGAAATTATGAAAAGTCTGCCTTGTTTTTTCTTTCTTGCATTGTGCTACAGTACACACATACACGGACACACGAATGCACACACATGCACACTGGGTTCTGCTAATTATCATTTCCTTAGTTCCATATCATTCCCCAACCCCTAAGCCACCTGTGTCCATACCAGTCTTCCCACTGCCTACCAGCCCCATGTCAGATGACCTCCATCAGTAGTATCTCCATTTATGGTGTCTCGCCTTTCTGACACATAGTAACAAGTGAGGTGTTAAGACTAACAAGAGAAAGAAGGCATTATTCTTATCTGGCTAGAAAGAAAACAATCAGCAACTTGTCTTTTATTTAAGGGAAGAAGGCTTCACTCTACTATATTTTCAAGATATTCCAAAACTGCAACAGACCCTTTCAATTATTTTACTTTCATCTATTACCAAAAAGGCCAACTTTTAGATTGAGGCAATGAAAACTCAGAAACTTTTTTGGAATGACCTTCAGATTTGAGATGACCACTGTTTCAACAATATTTCAGTTATAATTCTTTCTCTATATTCATTTAGGGAAATTTGATTCTGAAAAATACAAATAGCTTCCTTTCTCCTGAGCTAGGACTGTATTTAGAAGGGAATAAATTGTAGATTTTATTAAAATTTGATCACATTTTCTTTTTTTGTGCTACGACACAGTAGCAATGTAGATTGAAGGCTTTTACATGTATTTTTAAAATTGCCATAGAGAATTATTTGTATTAATCATAGATTTCCAAGGCTGCAAAAGCTAAATAGTAAAGCATATAATAATGGTAGCGTTAATTTGAAAAAAAATTCCAGCTAGCAAAACATGAGTCTAGATGTAGATATCATGTTCAAAAATCACAAAGCAGATTGCCAGCAAAAAATTGAACCAAGTTTTTCCCCTTCAGAAAACTAGCTTTATTTAAAAAAATTTCCTAATATTTAAATTGATTCACACGTTTATAACTATACAAGGGTTTCCTTGTTTCATCAAAGAAATAAGTATGAATGAGCAGAATGTTTTAGTATAAAAGTTTACAAAGTTTATTCACACTCGGAACAAAGGAATAAGTAGGAAAAAAAGAGCAACTAAAAACAAATGAATTCTTTTCCCCATCCCTCTCGTTTGTCTCCAATCAGTTAAATCCTTTTAATGATATATCATAAGTAGCTTCATGCTTTAGTTCACATTGACGATATTCTTATATCTACATCATTAATAATCAAAATAGTCTTTCTGTCTTTAGTTTTGCTGTCTCTAAGTCAGAACTCAATACTGTTGCTCTAAAATACAAATGTTAAGATGATTCTTCAGGAGCTTCTCATCACCTGTACTATAATGCTACTAGCATGAGAGCACCCACCTAGCCTTCTTATCTCAAGTCCTGCCCTGCCACTCTGTACATATATCCCCTCTTTAATTCACCCTTAGACAGAGACAGAGAGGGCCACGCATCTTGTCTTTTCCTGAATTAATATGTGGTTTTTGCCCCATGCTTTAGCACATGTGAATCCATTTGTCCAGCATGCCTTTGCTCACCTGTGTACAAGAAGAGCTACATAACAGATCAAAAGGAACATCAAAGGCGCTGGTTCTTAGAGTCTCATGTCCATTCCTCCAATTCTCGCCACTTCTGGATGCACTGTTTCTTATGAGCTTCCTTAAATATGCTGTGCCTTTTTGCTTTCTGCGTATGGGCATCTCCAGTGCCAAAGTAAGAGGAGATTTCTGCAGAATTTCAGGAAGTTAATATCCTAGTGGCAGCTCTCAGACAATGGGAGACAGGAGCTAATGGCTGTTTCTTCGTTTTGTCCTTCAGGCTGATAATCCAGAAAACCAATCTGCACAATGCTTGAGAAGGTGCAGAGAATTAGAGCCCTCATTGCCCTCAATGCAGTACCTTTATATTGGCTTTTTCTCCTTATTCATCACATGCTCCTGTTTCCCGAGATTGCCACCCACATATACTACTTGCACCCTACACTATATTTCAGGCTCTTCCTTCAGGATAATGAAACCAAGCTAAAGGCAAAATCCAACTTTTGTTTAACTCATCCTGCTTCTGAGCTCCCAAGATCCCTGAACCTACTTCTCTTATATAATTTATTATAGAAAGTTATTTAAGCATGAGATTTCTCTAGTTTATCTTTGAATCTCCACTGTCAATATAGTCTCTGGCCAATGAAAGCTGTTCAGTTAATGTGTGGTGATTCAATACATGCACTCCTAATTCTCATTTATGAACATTTTGTTAAATCGTGGCCTATAGGAAATAGGCATGTAAAATGCACCTGTAAGTTTTATAGCACCTAGTACAGAGTGACAGCTCAAAACTATTTGCAGAATGAAAGAAAAAAGGAAGTTGACTCTCCAAAACAATACACATGGCCAAAGCCTGGAAAAAAGTAATAGTGTCCCAGTGTAACTTCTAGGAGGTGTGAGGAAGAAAGAAAAACAAAATTGGCACCTTTTCCCAGGCTTTAGACTGAGAGATATTAACTTGGAGAGGGGAAAGCATAGTCTAAAGAGAAACAGGGCTAAGGAAGGTATCACTTTCTTTTACTATCTCTCAGACAGATTGCAATGCAATCTCAAGGCAGCACTACACTGGACAAGGTACTAGGACTCTGACCATTCTTGTTTTTATTCTTTTTTTTTTTTTTGAGACAGAGTCTCACTATGTCACCCAGGCTGGAGCACAGTGGCACTATCTTGGCTCACTGCAACCTCTGCCTCCCGGGTTCAAGTGATTCTCCTGCCTCAGCCTCCCAAGTAGCTGGGAATACAGGTGCCTGTCACCACACCTGGCTATTTTTTTTTTTGTATTTTTTTTGTAATTTTTTTTTGTATTTTTAGTAGAGACAGGGTTTCACTATGTTGGCCTGGCTGGTCTTGAACTCCTAACCTTGTGATCCACCCGCCTTGGCCTCCCACAAAGTGCTGGGATTACAGGCATGAGCCACCGGGCCCGGCCCATATTTTTATTCTTAAAGAACCAGAACTATATGCATCTAGTGTTCCCCAAGTTTTCTTCTTTGTCTTTTAACATTCCAGGAAAACAGATATTGAGTGTTTTGCTGGATCATGCATAGTTCCATATCCTTTTGACCCTCTGTTTGCTGTAGCCAGCTTTGATTCTTTGGATTCATGGTCACCCTATAACATATTCACTAATCCACCAATGAAAGGTTATGTAATGTATAACAATCAACTCAGGGTTTTCTAATGACAATCTTTATCAATGTTCTATAAGCTTGAAAATTAATTTAATAATTTATACCATTGTGCATAAAATATAATAAAAACTTTAATTTAATAACGAAATTCATGCATACTTTTACAAACTTATCAGTCATTCAGAAGTAAATGTGGACTTCAGTTTTGTGGGCAGGGGTTTACAGAAGTATGTTTTACTAAAGTTTGGAGAAAAGATCAGTATAAAAATATGAAATTATACCAATAGCATTATTAGAAATAGTTAAAAGACAAAGTTTAAGTATTTTCATAATCATATCACTTTTTAAGTGACTAAACTACTAAAGAAACATTTAGTTAACTCTAAAATATTGTTGTAAAATTTCTATGTGTTTTGAGGAAAAATACTTTTATTCCATCATAAAATTTTCAACTTAGAGAAACAATTTGTTTACTTGAAAAATTATAATATTTTCAAGTAAAAATGGTTATACTGACAATTTATTAAAACATAAATAAAAGTTCTTCCCACACTTTGACACATGATTAGAAAAAAAAAGGCAGTAAGATTTTCATACAGAATTCTGGGGTTAAGTAGAATTCACTTGTGTTTGCTGGTCTAAGATGCAATGGAATTTGGAGGCAATGGGGCTGGATTCTATCAAATCAGACACACGGAAGAGGTTATAACGTGAGAATTTATATTTTTTCATTTTCTCAGCCCACACTTGAAATAACAATTTGCAAGAGTTTTGCTTTGCTCAATATTAGGCCTGATTAGCTAAAATGCTCAAATTTCCATTCAATCCTTAAAAACAGATCCACACTTAGTCATTCTTCACACCTCTCTCCCTCGCCCTTTCACACCCAAATTGTTAACTTTTTTCTCTATTCTCACATTTATAGTCTGGTTCAGACTTCCGTGATCTGTCACTTGCTCTTGTGGTTAAATTTCTGAAGTGAAATTCCTATCTCTAATCTCTTCTCCTATGTATGTCATCAGACTTGCAATTTTTTCTAAACCCAAAATGTGTTTTCACTAGTCCCCTGTTAAAAAACTGTCAACACATCCACATTGCCCACTGGCTATAGAGTTCAATTCAAACTAGAGTCATTCACTACTTGGACAACCAGCTTCCCAGCTCCACCTCTGGGTATTCTTTCTCTTGCCTTCAGAATGGTGTTGAGGATATAAGGTGAATGCAACAGCCATTGCTCTCAGTGAGCTCATAGTCTAAGTGAGGAGACAGATGAGCAGATCATTATAAAACAAATTGGCAAGTGCAATGACAGAAGTGTGCATAGGTGCTATGGGAACCAAGAGGAAGGATATATAATAAGCCAGGGAAGGAAGAGAAGATTCAGGGAGACTTACTGGAGGATGAATTGCCCTCAGAAAGTATTGAAGTGTAGGTAACAGTTGGTTAAGAGAAGCAGAAAGAAGGAAAAGGAGACAGCAGCACAGGGTGCCAAAATAAGAAAAGCCTGGGTAATACTGCCAAGAGAAATCTACAATTAAATGCAATTCCCATCAAAATACCACCATCATTCTTCACAGAACTAGAAAAAACAATCCTAAAATTCATATGGAACCAAAAAAGAGCCCACATAGCCAAAGCAAGATTAAGCAAAAAGAAAAATCTGGAGGCATCACATTACCTGCTTTCAAACTATACTATAAGGCCATAGTCACCAAAACAGCATGGCACTGGTATAAAAATAGGCACACAGACCAATAAAACAGAATAGAGAACCTAGAAATAAACCCAAATGCTAACAGCCAAGTGATCTTTGACAAAGCAAATAAAAACATAAAGTGGGGAAAGGACATTTGATGTATTGTATGGGTTACATAAGATCGATTAAGTGGAGATGGAAATTTTACAACTTTTTGTTGTATATTGTAAACTATTTTTAAATATTAGTGGCAAAAAGACTAATATGGATAAATATTCCCAACAATTTGATATTTGATGTCCCAAACTATTGTGAGATTGGTTATAATAAAAAATAGCAAACTACCCTGCTGATTTCCCATGAAGCTTAACCCTCTCTCACATTTCAGAACCAGCCTGACTTAAGCCTCTACATACTTAAACAGCTTCAAATGCCTATCTGAGACAGCTTTGTAATGGGTCTCTGCCCCTGTTTCTCTGTCCACAAGAGGTACTAATTCACTTCTCTTCAGTTGTTAGACCTAGGACACAATAGACACCAAGTTACATTTCTGTTAGGTGCATCTTGGAAGTGCCTGAGAACTGACCACTGGGCACCTACCTTTTTACCTAAGTCTCTGTTAATGTTGGTCTGTTTACCTGTTAGTAGTGGAGCCTGGTGCATAGAATTATCTCCTTGCCATCTGTGTCCCACAACACATATATAACCCCCTGCATGGCATATGAGGCCTTTCCTGAGAGGGGTGCTTTTAAGCCAACATTCCAGAGACCTAGTTCCCCTGCCCCAGGTGCCTCAGTTTTTACACCTAGGATGCTATTTTGAATCTTCTCCTCAATGACAAGTATCTGTACTCACTTAGTTTGGGTCCATGCCACATTCCTGAGGCAACTGAAACCCACCTACTCCTTGATGGCCTTCCAGGATGCTTGTCTGTACTATAGTGGACATCCCTTCCTGCCTCACGGATGTCCGTGTGTGTGTGTGTATGTTTGGTTTTTACTGGATTCCTGAGGAAGGCCTTCCACTGAACTTCATTCATGTGCTTTGCTACCTGTTAGAAAATGTAACCTAATGTAAATGTAAACCTCTGGTGCCTCTAGTTTTACTGACTTATGTTATATAAATCTTGGTTCCTGGTTCTTTCTGTTGCCCTGTTATGAGATGTATCACTCTAAGCCAAGCCCAAACACTAAGATAACAAGTGCTAAAGATGACGAATATTCTGAAGAGTTTTCAGGACACACAGAATTGTTTGTGGCCAGCACCTCAGTACCAATAACAGATATTTCATGTTATATAGTGGGGTCATTAAGGACTTATTTGAGGGAATAATCAAGAAAAACTTCCTAGTCTTGCTAGAGATCTAGATATCCAAATATAAGAAGCACAAAGAACACCTGGGAAATTCAATGCAAAAAGATTACCACCTGGGCACACAGCCATCAGGTTGTCTAAAGTCAAGATGAAGGAAAGAATCTTAAGAGCTGTGAGGCAAAAGCATCAGGTATCCTATAAAAGAAAACATAGCAGATTAATAGCAGATTTCTCAGCATAAACCCTGCTAGCCAGAAGAGATTGGGCCCTATATTTAGCCTCTTAAACAAAATAATTATCAGCCAAGAATTTTGTATCCAGTGAAACTAAGCTTCATAAATGAAAGAGAGATAAAGTCTTTTTCAGACAAACAAATGCTGAATTTGCCACTACCAAGCCAGCACTGAGAAATGCTAAAAGGAGCTCTAAATCTTGAAACAGTAACTTGAATACATCAAAATAGAACCTCCTTAAAGCATAAATTTAACAGGACCCATAAAATAATAACACAATTAACAACAGCAACAACAAGAAGGTATTGAGGCAACAACTATCATGATGAATAGAACAGTACCTCATACCTCAATACTAATGTTGAATGTAAATGGCCTAAATGCTCCACTTAAAAGATACAGAATGGCAGAATGGATAAAAATCCATCAACCAAGTATCTGCTGTCTTCAAGAGACTCACCTAACACGTAAGGACTCACATAAACTTAAGGTAAAGGGGTGGAAAAAGATATTCCATGCAAATGGAAACTCAAAGTGAGAAAGAATAGCAATTCTTATATCAGACAAAAAAGATTTTAAAGCAACAACAATTAAAAAAGACAAAGAGAGACATTATATAATGATAAAATAATTAGTTCAACAGGAAAAATTTACAATCTTAAGTGTATATGCATCTAACACTTGGGCTCCCAAATTTATAAAGCAATCACTACTAGACCTAAGACATGAGATAGACAGCAACACAATAATAGTGGGGGACTTCAGTACTCCACTGACAGCACTAGACAGGTCATCAAGACAGAAAGTCAACAAAGAAACATGGACTTAAACTATACCCTAGAACAAATGGACTTAACAGATATTTACAAAAAATCCTACCCAACAACTACATCCTTTTCATCAACACATGGAATATTCTCCAAGACAGACCATATGAACAAGTCTCAATAAATTTAAGAAAATCAAAATTATATCAAGTATTCTCTCAGACCACAGTGGAATAAAATTAAAAATTAACTCCAAAAGAAACCCTCAAAACTATACAAATACATGGAAATCGAATAATCTGCTCCTGAATGATCTTTGGGTCAACAATGAAATCAAGAAAGATGAAAATTTTAAAAATATTTGAATTCAACAATAATAATGACAAAACCTATCACAACCTCTGGGATACAGCAAAAGCCATGTTAAGAGCAAAGTTCATAGCATTAAATATCTACATCAAAAAGTCTGAAAGAGCACAAATAGACAATCTGAGCTTACACCTCTAGGAACTGGAAAAACAAGACAAAGCAAACCCAAACCCAGCAGAAGAAAAGAAATAACAAAGATCAGAATAGAAATAAATAAAATTGAGTCTTAGTGTGGTGGCTCACACCTGTAATCGCAGCACTTTGGGAGGCCAAGGCAGGCGGATCACCATAAGTCAGGAGTTTGAGACCTGCCTGGCCAACATGGTGAAACCCCGTCTCTACTAAAAATACAAAAATTAGCCAGGTGTGGTGGCAGGCACCTGTAGTCCCAGCTACTCGGGCAGCTGAGGCAAGAGAATCACTTGAACCTGGAAGGCAGATGTTGCAGTGAGCCAAGATCATACTGTTGCATTCCAGCCTGGGTAACAAGAGTGAGACTCCATCTCAAAAAATAAAAATAAAAATAAATAAATAAATAAATAAAATTGAAACACAAAATACAATACAAAAGATAAATGAAACAAAAACCTGCTTCTTTGAAAAGATAAACAAAATCAATAGACCATTGGCAAGATTAACCAAGAAAACAAGAAAAAAGATCTAAACAAGCTCAATTAGAAATGAAATGGGAGATACTACAACTGATACCACAGAAATAAAAAAGATTATTCAAGACTACTGTGAACACATTTACGTACACAAACTAGAAAACCAAGAAGAGATGGACAAATTCCTGCATATATACAAACCTCCTAGATTAAAACAGGAAGAAATAGAAATTATTAACAGACCAATAATGCATAGTGAGAGTGAAACAATAATAGAAAAAATGTCAGGAAACAAAAAAAGTCTAGGACCAGATGGATTCACAGGTGAATGCTATCAGAAATTCAAAGAAAAATTGGTACAAATTCTATTGAAACTGTTCCAAAAGATAGAGACAGAGGGAATCCTCCCTAAATCATTCTATGAAGCCAGTATTACCCTAATATCAAAACCAGAAAAGGACATAACAAAAAAAGAAAACTACAGACCAATATCCCTGATGAACAGAGATGTAAAAATCCTCAATAAAATACTAGCTAAATGAATCCAGCAGCATATCAAAAAGATAATCCACCATGATCAGGTGGGTTTCATACCGGGGATGCAGGGTTGCTTTAACATATGCAAGTCAATAAATGTGATACACCATATAAGCAGGAGTAAAAACAAAAATCATATGATAAACTCAATAGATGCAGAAAAAGCATTTGACAAAATTCAGTATTGCTTTATGATTAAAACCCTCAGCAAAACTGGCATATAAGATACACACCTTAAGGTAATAAAAGCCACTTATGACAAACCCACAGCCAACATTATATTGAACGGGGGAAAATTTGAAAGCATTTCCCCCGAGAACTGGAATAAGACAAGAATGCCTGCTTTCACCACTTCTATTCAACATAGTACTGGAAATCCTAGCCAGAGCAATCAGACAAGAGAAAGAAATAAAGAGCATCCAAACTGCTAAAGAGGAAGTCAAACTGTTGCTCTTTGCCGATGATATGTTTGTATACCTAGAAAACCTAAAGACTCATCCAAAAAGCTCCTAGATCTGATAAGTTAATTCAGTAAAGTTTCCAGATACAAAATCAATGTACACAAATCAGTACCAGTGCTATACACCAACAGCAACAAAACTGAGAATCAAATTAAGAACTTGAGCCTTTTTACAACAGCTGCAAAAAAAAAAAATGCTTAGGAATATACCTAACCAAAGAGGTGGAAGATCTCTACAGGAAAACTACAAAATATTGCTGAAAGAAATCACAGACAACAGAAACTAATGAAAACACATCCCTTATTCATGGATTGGCAGAATCAATATTGTGAAAATGAGCACACTGCCAAAAACAATCTATAAATTCAATGCGACTCCCATCAAAATGCCACCATCATTCTTCAAAGAACAAGAAAAAAAATCTTAAAATTCACATGGAACAAAACAACAGCCCATACAGCCAAAGCAAGACTAAGCAAAAAATAACAAATCTGGAGGCACTAGATTACCCAACTTCAAACTATACTACAAGACTATAGTTAGGAAAACAGCATGGTACTACTATAAAAATAGACATGTAGATCAATGGAGCAGAATAGAAAATCCAGAAATAAAGCTAAATACTTACAGCCAACTGATCTTCAACAAAGCAAACAAAAACATAAGGTGGGGAAAGGACATCCTATTCAACAAATGGTGTTGGGATAATTGGCAAGCCACATGTAGAAGAATGAAGCTGGATCCTCATCTCTCAACTTATACAAAAATCCACTCAAGATGGATCAAAGACTTAAATCTAAGACCCAAAACCTTAAAAATTATAGAAGATAACATTGGTAAAACTCTTCTAGACACTGGCTTAAGCAAAGAGTTCATGACCAAGAAACCAAAAGCAAATGCAACAACAACAAAAAAGATAAATAGATGGGACCTAAAACTATAAAGCTTCTGCACAGCAAAAGAAATAATCATCAGAGTAAACAGACAACCCACAGAATGGGAGAAATATCTGCAAACTATCCATCTGACAAAGGACTAATATCCAGAATCTACAAGGAACTCAAACAAATCAGTAAGAAAAAACAAATAATCCTATCAAAAAGTGGGCTAAGGACATGAATAGACAATTCTCAAAAGAAGATAGACAAACAGCCAACAAACATATGAAAAAATGCTCAACATCTTTAATGACCAGGGAAATGCAAATCAAAACCACAATGTGATACCACCTTACTCCTGCAAGAATTGCCATAATTAAAAAATAAAAAAATAAACGTTGGCATGGAAGTGGTAAAAAGGGAACATTTTTTTACACTGCTGGTAGGAATGTAAACTAGTACAACCACCATGGAAAAGTTATGGAGATTCCTTAAAGAACTAAAAGTAGAACAATCATTTGTTCCAGCGATCCCACTCCTAGGTATCTACCCAGAGGAAAAGAAGTCATTATATGAAAAAGACACTTGCACATGCATGTTTATAGCTGCACAATTCACAATTGCAAAAATATGGAACCAGCCTAAATACCCATCAACCAATGAGTGGATAAAGAAAATGTGATATATTTACATATATATATAAAGCATAGGGGGGTGTGTGTGGATGCTATGGAATACTACTCAGCCATAAAAAGGAACAAAATAATGGCATTTGTAGCTACGTAGATAGAGTTGGAGACCATTATTCTAAGTGAAGTAACTCAGGAGTGGAAAACCAAACATTACATGTTCTCATTTATAACTGCCACCTAAACTAAAGGATGCAAAGGCATAAGAATGATATAATGGACTCTGGAGACTTGAGGGGAAGGGTGGGAGGAAGGTGAGGAATGAAAGACTACACATTGGGTGCAGTGTATGCTGCTCAGGTTATGAGTGTACCAAAATCTCAGAAATCATACCTAAACAACTTCTCCATATAACCAAAAACCACCTGCTCCCCAAAAGCTATTGAAATAATAATAATAAAGTTAATCAGAAAATTATTGTCTATAACACCAATATATTATTTTTATTAATGCATTTCTTTTAATGTATTGTTATTTGTCATTAATTAAATTAGTAGTTACACTATTAAGCGATCTGTTGTTATAATTAATTAATTAACCTCCCTTTATCAATTAAATTATAAAGCCCTGAAGGCAACTGAGTAGAGGCCCAATAAGTGATTGCTGAATTGAAATGCTGAACTGAATTATACTTCATTATATAGAAAGCCTCATATATAGGGCCTCACATATACCCTTACACAAAATATAAGAATCCACTACAAATCACTTCATCGATTAATCAACTGGCTGTACTTTGTAACAAGGTTTGCACAAATAAAATATCTTTCAGGAAAAGTGTAAAATATATTTCATTAATCTGTGAAAATGCAACTGGAAGTTTTGTGGCTTCCTAGTTTGAACTCCGCCCAAGAAGGCAAAACCTTTATAGACCCATAGTTTCCCGTCTAGGTACTGCTCTTTCACACATCTCTAAGTCTGACTAGACACATTGTAACATAAGCTGTGGTCACATGACAGGTAGGTGTCTCAGTAACAGGCAACACCAGTCATGGAAAAACAAAACTAAGTGTCCAAATGAGTGCAGAATCCTGATTGCAGCTCACATTTACTCTTAAACAAGAGGCCCTCTTCTTATATTCTCAGGTAAGTGACTCTGTAATAAGAGGATTGTGTAGCATTTACCTAACAGCTTTACTTTAGGACTGTATACTGTCCTTAGATATTTTTAAAACTTTTTATATTTCATTTCTAAATAAGAATATTACAAAAAATTTCCTAACATTTATATAACATAATTCTCAAAGTAGATAGAGCCAAATAACTGACTTCTGCTAGTTTTTTTTCCAGATATTTGTCTTTTATGTACATGGCCAGAAACCACTTAGAACTTGCATAAAAACAAGTTAAGAAGCAAAATGTCAGTTAGTTCCTTTCTCTATCCCAGAGCGCACTGTTTCATTAGGAATTTTTCAATAAAAATAATAATGTAGAAGGTGTGATTTTTACAGTTTTCATGTCTTGATATATAGTGAAATTGAGCAATGTGAGAATAAATGTGATCTAGAAAAGAAAAATATCTTTCGATTTGAGAACAGATGGTTAATAATAATCATGACAGTGATTCAAGGTTAATGACCTACATGCTAAACTTGTTTTAATTTTTAAAAGCCATTACTAACTGAAAACTCCCTGCTTTAGCTGAACCAACACTTAACAAGTGTTTTTTAAAGATGTCTTGATACCTTCAGAGAAGTTCTCCTGCTGCTAGTTTTCTCTGGAGCAACAGTGGGAAACCCCAGGTGGTTACTCCTTTGTGAATATAAGCATCCACATGAAATTGGTTGTTTCCGCATGCACGGGCAAACATGTTTTGTTATACTAATGTCTGAAGTACAAATTGTTGTAGAATCATTTTATTCCATAGACTTCCAAGTCTAATTCTAATACTAACTTCCATCAATAGTTAAATTATTATTTATCTTCTATCCAAAGGCTACCTGAAGGTCCTATCACTTTGGTGTGAGAAGAATCGGGTAAGACAAAAAGTTAGGCTTGCACCAGTTATCAATAGAATATTAAGAAAGATTTTTAAGAAGGAGAATAGCAGTTCCAGGTTCCACATATTTGATACTTTTCACCAGAAAATAGGAAAGACGGATTGGGTCTGCAATGTATTTTCAAAGTCAAACTTCTATTCCTCTATTTAATGTATTTTTACAGAGATGACTTGAGAAAACACACATTTCTTTTGAATCTTGATGTATATATTTTTGACGGATCAGACACTCTTACTTGAGCTAGGTGATCTCACATCATTATCTGTTGCTATGTGCTATTGTTTCTGTAGCCAAATGAATGGGCCATTGGCAATCAAGCCAAACAAATTTTGCTTTTACACCCGATTTTAGCATTAATCTACAGACACGGCTTTTCAATAGTAGAAAAGATATCTCCCATTTTAGTCCAAATTTAAGTATAGTTAAAGCTACATTTTGGGAAAAATGTTTTATCATTTTTTTGTTCACTTGTGGGATGAAAAGTAGGATTAAACAGTCCATTATCTCTACCTTCTCTAACTGCCTTTACTAAAATTTTAAAATATTTCTTTTGAAGAAACAAAACATAATATTTGCCATTAAATCTTAAAAGTATGACAACTAAATGGATGCTAAGACAATTGTGTTTCAACTGTGGGCTTATAAACTCTATTGAGAAACTCATTTATGATCATGAGTTTTTTCCAGGATGGACATATAAAGATGGATTTTTAAAACACTGGCCTGGAGAATAGGGAGAGAAGAGGTAATAAAAAAGTATTTATATTACTTATATGAGACATATCTTTTTATAATATCTATATTTAAAACATTTTAAAGTATAAATATTTCTGTACTATAATACAATATACAGTATTATAGTTTATGGTCTGTGATTTACGGTAATTACTGTGGGTCATTTTTTCTGAATTAATTTTATAAGTGAACAAGCAAAGTGACCAAGAGAATGATCTATGATCCAGAAATAACTTTCAATGATAAAAAACCTGAAGTACAACAAAGAAGTCAGAGGCAGGGCTAGACAAAATGGAACTAAATATACTAAGAAGGTGCAGAAAAAGAAGAGAAGAGTATGTTGTGGCTTAACCCCATATTTCCCCATGGCAGAAGGACAGAAACTAAATCTGAGGGCAACTCAACAGTAGTCAATAATTATCAGCCAAATCAATGGATGAATAGGTGGATGGATGAATGCATGGATGAATGTTTGTGCCTGGGAACCCTTCTGTCATCATGCATAAGCAGCCTGAGTCTTAGATAATACTATATGACATGCTTTCTTCATGTGAATAAACAGACCTAAAGACAGGCACTAGGAGACCCTGGGACCACAAAGCTCAGATTGTTATAATAAAAGGAGGGAAACAAAGCTCCCTGTTGAAGAAAATTTTTGCACACTTGATATACAATATTTCTACTAATGAACAGAGAAAGCTTGACTTGAAAGGACACATTTATATTAGATGTCATCCCTATCTAGAGGCCATTACTATCAAGCATCTGTCAGGTAAAGGAGATGAGATGCCTGTAATTTTTTCTTTAAATATTGTTTTTTCTAAGTTGTGTTGGAAATGGGGAGTTGCAAGTTTGTATTTCCATTGCTTAAAAATAGAAAACAGATGAAGAAAGGAGATATCATCAGCAGAACATAGAAGATTTCATAATACGGAGGCTAAAACTCTTAAGAAAAAGCAATATTTATTCTAGTGCCCAACCTACCATGAGAAAGTTGTGCGACTTTGGGCAAGTTATTTAATTCCTCTGGGTCTGAAGATGAGTCTGCACACAAGAGCCTATAATGATCCCTTCCAACACCGGGACTGGCGGGTCTGCAGCCACAGTTACATCTGGAAACTCCACTGGTGCTTTTGGAGCTTCCCAAGAGTATCAGGAATTCAATATGCAGTCATAAAAAATTTTGGGTCATGTTCTCTAAGTACAACACTGCCATGTGTGTGAAGAGATATCTTTATTAAAATTTTTCTTAAGTTGTTCCTTCCTAAAGTAGTGAAAGCTGAGCAGATCTTAGAAATTCATTTAGAATTCATATTACTCAATTACACTTGACTATAACACTTAAGAATCTAGTTATTTTCCTTTTGTAGTAAAAATATATTTTATTTGAAATATGTGAATGGTTACTTAGTCATTTTAATCTACATGAAAAATTTAACCTTAAAGTAACTCTATTTTAAAAATATGAAATGAGACTATCAATCGGTACTTATGAAGCAATGTTTATTCTTCTAATATAGTGTGGGAAGAGAAATGTAAAAGTCTTGCAACACAAAAGGGATTGTTCTCACAAATCATAGGTTTGTGAGATGGGGTGGCAAAATCTCATTGTTTTTAAAGAACCAAGCTGTTCTTCATGAGCAAGAACACTGAATTCCCTGGTTTTCTTTTTCTAGTCACTATACCCCTGGCATCATAACACTACTGTCAATCAACTGCATCCAGAAGGTAGAATAAAATGCCAAGTGATACTTTCGGCAGAATTCCAGAGATTCTCAGATGGTTTTTTCTTTTCCCTCTTAAAAACTGTACCATATGAGTTAGGTTTATTTTGAAATGTCCATGAAAAAGAAGTCAGATATTTCTTAAAATTGGCCCCTCTTAGATATTTCTGGGGAAGCTTCATATAATTCCATTTGTTCATGTTATTCCTTTTCATCATAAATCAGTCCTCTATAAAGAGCTTCAAATTTTCACTGCCTGATGCTACTGTAAAAATATACCTAATATGTTTGATCGAAAGACAGTAGTCAATATATTTATTAGGAGAAATACTTTATTCACTAATCTTAAGAAATACTAGAGGAAATCCAGTACAATCTGAAGTTAAAACTAATGATTATTAAATGAATGTTACCATTTTATTAAAAATTAATAATAGTAATAAAAAACTACAAAGTACTTTCACATTTCCATTTGACTCTCACAATAACTCTGCTTTTACACATAAGCATATATACTTACTTACCTGTATACATGTACACATATTATGTATAATAACCCTCTTACTATATGTAAGATTCAGAGAGGGTAAATAACATGAATAAGACCACAGGACTCTTAAATTATGTGCTAGTGATTATAATTCCTACATTATTTCTATAGGATCAGCTGGCTTCACTGATATCAAAAGATTATATATAGTTATATAATTTTATAAAGTTCTGCTAACTTAGTGACTTTATATGCATTTTTCAGGAAACTTGCAAAAACAAGAAGGTGAATAAACTTCGAAATGAGAAGAGTTCACTAAGCATAATGCATTTATTTTGCATCAGGATTTTTCAACGTTTTAATTTTTAATTAAAAAATTAAACATTTTTAATAGCCGACATACATCTCCAAAATTTACTTCTCCAATCTTTCCAAAAGAATTGATGAAAATGTAAACCAAGATTTAGATGTAAGGATGATCATTATAACATTATAAGAAGCAAAAATTACAGAAAAACATTGTATTCAAAAACAGGTGTTGATGAAGGTATTTACTTTATTCACAAGTAAACTGAAACCAGAGAGATCACATGATTTGGTCACAGGCACAGCAACAGGTAGGAGCAGATCTGGGATCCAAATCCATGTTAGCTATCTCCAGACATAGATCTCTCTCCACCAAAACACACTTCAGACCACACTCCAACTATGGGACCAATGGTTTGCCCCATTGTTTATTGCCTATGGTAATGGGTTTATGTATAATCGTGACTAAAATCATTATCCTTTTAAATTGAAAGAAAGATGGGATGGGTGGGTAAATAGATTACAGCAGAACCAAGCAGTAGATTGCTATTTTGCCACACATACCAAATATTAGATAATGAACTTCATATTAAATATCTTCTCTAGGTCTTTATCTTCATCATAGCTCACAATGTTGTATGATGCTCTGGCAGAAACTAAAAACTATGCTTGTAGAATGTCTCATTTATATGACAACAGAACGACTGAGTGAAATGGAGCTTAATATTAAGTCTGTTAAGAGGTTAGGGACAAGCCAAAGACAGAGTGAGACTCTGTCTCAAAAAAAAAAAAAAAAAAGTAACTCAGAGATAAATAAAAGTAAGTTCTGAGCTGACATCCATAAATGCTTTGTGGCATTAGATGCTGCTAAGAGTGAATTATTTCCATGAAGCCAAGATCAAGCTGTTGCACAAGCTGTACATTAATTACTTGAAAAAAATTCCCAGTAGGGCAATGTCTAAATATATTTCCATGAGAATAGTATATATATTTGTTATAAAGGTGATGATCTAGCCAAGAGGGTGTCTGACCTCCAAAATATATCCACTAATAAAAAAAATCCAAGGAGCATTTGGATAACAGTGGTTAAAAAAAATTGCAAAACAGATGGACTTCACATTTTGGGCATGACTACACACGTGGCCAGATCAATCCCAGTGATTCTTCCATGCAAATATGTTAGTGTGATTAGTTGATTGTAGGAAATGTGGCATTTGCATTACTAATATGTTTTGTTCTTGTCATGGTTGTAAAAACAGTCTTTACTTAGCAAGTATAAATGTTAGCAAGTATAAATATGTTTAAACATAAAAAATAAGACTAAACAAGAATAAAAACTGTTTTTAACTATAATTATCAAGTCTACAACCCAAAAGTCTTTTTCCCATCCTTGACACAATAACATTCAAACATGATTTTTAATGATCTCGTAGTACATTTATTGCTAAATTGTACTCAAAATAATGTTTCATTTTACTTAAGTGGCACAAGCCCCCTGTAGGTATGATTACATTCCGCATACTAATTCTTCTTGAGCTCACTGACAGAAGTGACTATGTCTTCTTATAAAATTTCTATACTCCCATGATCTAGCTTAGTTTCAACCAAATAAACGGCATTCAGTTTATATTTGCTGAAGGGAAGATAATCTCCTTCTAGTTAGCATCTATCCACACACAGTGCTTAATAACAGATTGTATCAGAGTTTGCTAGTTGTCCACCAAAATCTGTTCTCCCTTCTTTGTCAGGGCATATGGCTATATACTACAATTTTCTGTCTACCTTGAATAAATTGTGGCTGGTATCCAAAGGAATGAGAAAGGAAATAATGTATGCTACTTCGAAGTGGGTATGGATGCATCCCCTCAGAAGACGGTGGGGCTGCAACTTGGGAGGAGTCTGGGTTCCTCAATCTCCCTAAGGGAGAAACTCACCCACCTGCCAAAAACACCTACCATGGACTTATGTGAATGAGAATCAACCTCTACTGTGTTTGAGCATTTTAATTGACATTCATTTAACACTATTTAATATACAGATGTTCAGTAGATGTTCACTAAATGAATTAAGTTTTTGTAGTTTGATTTTCTGAAGAATTTGAAACAGATCAAATGTATAGAGAAGTTTCAAGAACAGTCAAAGAGTCCCTCTATCCACTTCACCCAGAATTCCTAATTGTTAACATTTTACCTCATTTGCTCCCTCTGC
The DNA here is from genome assembly GCF_000001405.40 of Homo sapiens. Taxonomy (NCBI): domain Eukaryota; kingdom Metazoa; phylum Chordata; class Mammalia; order Primates; family Hominidae; genus Homo; species Homo sapiens. Next base: position 89,788,049 of record NC_000004.12, read on the forward strand.
CTAACACATGGATGTATTTGTGCGTGTGTGTGAGAGTGTGTGTGTGTGTGTGTGTGCGTGTGTGTGCGTATCTTTTTCCAGCACAATGGTGCATTAACCCTAAGTACTTCAGTAAGTACCTCTCTAAAGCAAGGATTCTCTTCTACACTAACACTGTAAAACTGTCACAACCAGGAAGTCAACACTGATAGAACACTGCCATCCAAGCCAGAGGATGATTAAATTATTATGTGCTTATTGGGTGCTCAATTGGGTGTTCAGCATGACAAGTATCATAACCACCATAATCATCCTGGCTTTCTCTTTCATCCACCATCTCTGTCTCTCTCTCTTTTCCCTCCTACTTCCTAGGCTGCTGGGCACACTGCCATTGACCTCTGCTTGACATCTCCTTCCTCCCCCTGTCAGCAGCCTTGCTCAGACATCAACCACCAGTGTTTGCATGTCCCCATGGCAAGAACAAGGGGGAAGGGAGTAGGAGGGAAAATTAGTAAGGACAAGGGAAGGTGGATGAATGAATTCATTTTTAATATAATGCTACGTGAAAAGAAATGCCAGAAAGTAACATTCTGAAAATCACTGGTAAAAGCATCCCCAAAGTCTACCTGATATGGACATTTAAATTCATTAAAAATTCTGAGTTTAAGAAAACAGCTAAGAGGTTGAGAAATCAGAGTTGGCTGCCCAACTTACAATTCTCCTTGCTGACCAGCATCTTTTGGCTGCCTCTCAAAATAACAGGATAAGGCACACAAAACTGAATTCTTCACTTGGATTAAATCTGAATCTTCCTTCTCTTATTCCTTTGCTTATAAAATATCTTCCTAGGCTTGAGACAGTCTAGAGACCACCTGAGAACACTGAATGTTCCTTTTGAGTATCCAGTAGCATAACTCACACTGTCAACAAGGCCTTACTTACGTGTGCTGAACATTTTTATATTTTTGTATCCTTTATCACAAACCAAACACTGCTTAGTTATAAAATATATGTGTAAGTCAACATAATTTTTTTTGTCAAAGCAAAGATTTTTCTCCAAAATATAGCTACAGAAGAAAAGGGGCTTATAACAAGTGTATAGTACACATTCAGAAACATTTTGTTTCATGGATGTTTCAGTAAATGCTTCATTTCTATGTAGGAGGTATAAGATTCCTGCTAAAAATACATTCCCTTCCCTGAATATTCACAATAGCTTGCCAAAAATTCTCACAAATGAATAAAGACAGAACTGATTAACTGTATTAAGTGTCCTACTTAATACAATAATAATTCAGGTTTTAAATAATTTCAACATCAGTTCATTATATTAATTAATCTCATAAAAACCTCCCAATTAATGTACTATGTATAAATTTTATCAAGTACTTTGATGAATTAAGAGGAAGGTAAAGGTTTTCATCAATATCTGCAATAATATTATTAAATTGGGCTAAAAGGAACCAAGACAAATGAAGATATATAAGAAAACTAATCATTATTTTAGACTAAAACAGGAAAAGAACATAGTTATCTAGGACACTGTCTCCTTAGTTTTTAATGTTTCTTCCCCAGATGGGTTTGCACATCTTTTGCCTGAAAAAAGAACTTATTTCCACCACACAAGTTACATTAAATACGTCTTTTAGCTCCTAGGGAGCTGAAAGGCAAGTCCAAAATGAACTTTTTTATTCGTTATGTCATGAAACTATAACACTGCATTATTAATACACCTCTAATCAATAAAGCCTAAAAATCCATTCCCAAGAGACCCAGATTTCTCTACCAGTTCTAGTTGTACTAGTTATTCTCAGCGGTAAGTTTTCCTAGTTCTTAATATTAAAATGAGAGGTCCAGAGGCTCTAGGTGGTGGAGGGGTTGCTAGCTAAAAGGAGGGTGTCCTACAGAAAGGGACAGAGTCTCCATGAGCAATGCTGGATGGTACCTGTGGTCCAGTTCTTGGCACATGGTGAGTGCTGCCTAAGTCTTGGTGCCCTAGACCTGCAGCAGCAATCGGCGGGGAAAGGACCATGACTTTGGTGACAAAAGTGATGGCAGAAGAGTGGAAAGAGGTATGAGTGATGACTAAGGACAAAGAAACAAGGGTAGAAGGACAATTCCAGCAGCAGCCTATCCGAATAACAAAATCCTTATCTCAGGAAAACCATCTCTGCTATGAATACATACACACACATATATTCATCAGGTATCAATTTAATTACTGATTGGAACACTGTAAACTTGTTCAAAATAGAGGTTATTATTCAGTATCTTCAGCTGTCCGGATTCACCATTTTATAGCATGCTCTCTGACATTAGTGAGAATGAATTGTACTCTACATATTTAGGTAATGGTTTGGTATACAGCTGCTATTAACGATTTGTGTGCTATGCAATATTTGTGGTCTCCTGTCACCCACCTCAGGAGACACAACTGATGTAAGTGAGACAGCTCAGCATATCCTATGGAAAAATCTCTTATTAAATAAAGGTCAATGATTAAGTAGTATAGTCATTGAATTAATTTGTTTTCCTTAAGAGGAGCTCTCCTCAGGTCAAAATTAAAGTCAGGGATAGATAAGTCTCTCATATGGTTCCCCCAGTGTGAGAGGAGCAAGCTGTTGGTTTCCTTTGGTGGCTTTTTTCTTGTCTCAGAAGAATAAATTAATAAATTCTGCATAGCTGTGATTTTGTGTGACAAAAATGAAGAACCTGTGCCTCTGTTTACAAAGCAATGCAATGGGAATCACCTCCCCTGGTGTCTCTTCCCCATCACCACCACTTTGCCCGCTGAAATGTTCTTAACCCCACCCACCATAAAAGGTGATGATAAATTGTTGCTTCAAACTCATGCTGATTGAAATTTTCCAGCTATTTTTAAATAACCCCCACTACTGGATTTCTTGCTTCTATGTTATATGACAATGCTTCTTTCAGGTGAAAATGTCCTGGAAACAAGTAATTTTTACCTGGCTACCTTTTTTTTTTTTTTTTTTTTTATAAAGAAAGAAGTTTAATTGACTCACCGTTCTGCATAGCTGAGGAGGCCTCAGGAAACTTACAATCATAGCAGAAGGGGAAGGGGAAGCAAGGCACACCTCACATGGCAGGAGAAAGAGAGAGCAAAAGGAAGTGCCATGATTTTAAACCATTAGATCTTATGAGAACTCATTCACTATCATGAGAACAGCATGGAGAAACTACCCCCATGATCCAATCACCTCCCATAAGGTCCCTCCCTCAACACATGGGGGTTACAATTCAAGATGAGATTTGGGTGGGGACACAAAGCCAAACCGTATCACTATGGATGGTAGTATCAGGGTGCACATGCATCTTTTTTTTTTTCTCTCTGATTTTCTTTTTTTATTTAAATTCTTTTTTTTTAAATTATACTTTAAGTTTTAGGGTACATGTGCACATTGTGCAGGTTAGTTACATATGTATACATGTGACCTGGCTACCTTTAAAGATGGATATTGACTCCTCCAAAATGCTTTCACTTGAAAAAAAAAAGAAGAAAAAAACCTCAAAAATGAGAAGGGCTTTCCGACTTGAGGAAAGCAAATCTTTTTAACTTGCACTAGGAACATCACGACATTTTCTTGCCTCTTAGATGGTTTGTATTTTGGATGCTTCTGAAGAGAAACAAAGACATATAGAATTTAAACATTATCTGTGTTTATTTGTAGAATACTTATTTTTTGTATTTTGTTTTTTAAATGAGTATGTCTGATATCTCATACATTTAGAATATTTGTAATAGAATAGCAAATTTCCACCATGGAATCAGTGGAGAGCTATGCAATTTAACAACTGCAAAGAATCTTAGAGATCCTTAGAGTAACACATCCTCTTATTTACAAATGGGGAAACAGGGTATACGAGTAGAAGTGACTTGCCTAATCCATAAGCTAGGGGTACAACAGGGTCATTAGGGCCATCCTGTTCAATTTCTCCCTGATATGATCCTAGCGATGGAGTACCTACCAACTTTCTTTACAATAGCCCAACGTCTAGTATGAGAATCATTCTGTGGACACTCTTCCAAATTGAAACAATCTCCTTGGATTACTCCTGGCACAGCTTATGTATTCTCATAGCCAATCCCCTGGTCATGACTCTGACACTAGTAGATAAAAAGTATCACTCTAATCTCTTGATCTTTTCATCATGCCTTTATTTTTACACATGCAGTACTCAGAGTCTAAACAAACCTTAGCTTGCATTTTCCTCTTAAAAGCCCACCATGGATCTCACAGTTTTGTTGTTGTTGTTGTTGTTGTTGTTGTTGTTGTTGTTGTTGTTGTTGAGACGGGATCTCACTCTGTTGCCAGGCTGGAGTGCAGTGGCACAATCTTGGCTCACTGCAACCTCCGACTCCTTGGTTGTTCAAGTGATTCTCTTGCCTCAGCCTCCCAAATAGCTGAGATTACAGGCACGCGCCACCAGGCCCAGCTAATTTTTGTATTTTTAGTAGAGACAGCGTTTCACCATGTTGGCCAGGATGGTCTCGATCTCCTGACCTCGTGATCCACCCACCTCAGCCTTCCAAAGTGCTGGGATTATAGGCGTGAGCCACCGCGCCCGGCCTCTTGTAGTTTTTAAAATTAAATTTAATCCAATAAAACATTTAGTTTGCCTTTATTTGGAATTTGTTATCTATTGTTATATACTCTATTAATACCTCCTCTTCAGCAAGGAAATTTTCTTACATCTGCTTACACGTACATCATTTGTTAGAGCCCCTAAATATTGGTAATGATGATGATGATATTATAGCATGAATTACTTTACGTTGAACATTGGCCTAAGTGCTTTAAACACATTATTTGCCTAGCATTTACAACATTTTTGTAGGTATTATTTGTCACAATTACATTTTCTTGTTCTATGATATAATTTGTTTTGATATCGTATTAGTTTTCTATTGTTCCCCTACTGAATTACCACAAATTTATTACATTGTGGGATTGTAAGTCTGAAGTCCAATAGGGGTCTCACTAGCCTAAAGTTAAGGTGTCGGCAGGACTGTGTTCTGTTTTGGAGACTCTAGGAGAAAATCTGTCTCCTTGCCTTTTCCAGCTTCTTGATGCCATTCATAGCTTCTTTCATGATCTGGCATCCTATACGTTATACTTATTTTCTGATTATATTTTGCCTAACCTCTGTGAGATATTAATTATTTGAGGGCAGAGATTTTTATTTGTTTGTTCATAACTATATCCAGGTGCCTTAAAATGATGCCTGACACAAAATAGGTACTCAATCAACATAGGTTAATAAATGAATGAGCAAAAAGTTTTATTGTGCATATTAATTGTTACCTGGGGGAATATACTCAGACATCTTAAGTCTCATATGTAAACTTGGGGTATTGATATCAACATGCCATTTTGAGGATTAATTGAGGTTATGTCTATAAATACCTACTAGCATAGTGTCTAGCACATAGTATGAAAACATTGTATTATTATTATTTATTAAAATGGCATTTTGTTTTCTTTATAGCACCTGACACTATCCAAATTGCCTTTTCTGTTTCTTTTCTTTTTACTTATTTCTTAATTGTTTCACAAAGGCAGAGTCTTGTATGCTTTGCCTCTATGTCTTTAGTACCTAGAATAGTGCCTGTTTAAAAGTAGGAGCTGAATAAATGTTTGCTGAATTAATATTAATCATGTGTAGGAAAAGAAGCTTGGGAATGTTATTCTACCACCCACAGCTGTGCCCACTATTATGATGGTTGTTTTGTGTGTTCTTTCTCAAGGATTCACTTTCAGAACTCAAAATGGGGTGTAGGGTGGTGGTGGTGCCAGCAGTGGGGATGGGAGAAGCTCGATCTCTCCCTACAGTAGAAGTGCTTACTGCTCTATGTGTTCTTCAGCCCTATAAGAACCAATGAAAGCCATCCACACTTCCCTCGATACTGGACATCCCTACATACTCACAGCAGTCTGCAAAACATATCCAAGGGCCCACTGAGACACTGAAGATGACCCATTGATTTAATACATATTTGCAAGGCTCTGATTGAGAACCTCTGGACAGGCGCTTATCTAGAGGTTACAGTGTGTGACTAACACGACACAGTTTAGGATTTATGTAACAGGAATATGCTATAGGGAGAGAAAGAACAGAAGACCTCAGTTGACACGGTGGAATTGGAGTGAGAGAGATTTCCATGAAGCCAAGTAAATAGTATTTTGGAGAGTGAAGGAGGAGACATCATCCTTAACTTCAATATTATTATCCTGTGTAGATTCATACTTTGTGTATTTTTTACTTAAGAGAAAAAATAGTAATAATATTCGCTAGGAGAAACACTTTGAAGAAAGAAATAAGTCCAGGAGCCCTGTAATGTACTTTTCCTCTATTTATTTCCCACATAAAATTAAAGCTGTTTTAGTTCTCATCGCATTTATCATCTTGAACTCATTTGCCACATTATTTTATTTAAATATTCCTTAACCTACAGAGAGTGGACTTAACTGCTAAAAAGTACTTAATACATGTTCCCAAGGAACTGCTTCAATTACCACTGCACAAAGGTTTGTTTGTTTTTAATAATACAGTATTATTACTAGAAGTATCATCAAGTCATGGAATGGTCAAAATATTCTTACTTCTATTGCTAGGGTGTTAGAAAGGACTCTGGACTACTTGATGTCTAGATGCAGATAAAAAAAGCAGCTGTTCACTTCACATAAAGTAGCCGCTACTGCTTAAAGGTAAGGGTAAATCTTGTTCACTGTGGATGAAGGTTACTAAAGAGAAGGACTAACATATAAAATAGGTTCAAATATATACGGAGATATAGACTTAAAAAATTAAGACTTCTCCTTCAATTAATATTCCAAGAAAAGAAACTCCATATTGCCATCTAAACACAGAAGCTTTTCTGTAATGGTATTCCAGTGAAAGTCATTTAAATTCGAATAGAAAAATTTAACTTGAGATCTGCCCTTATGAAAAGTGGTGAGAATTCAAATAGTTCTCGAACCCTATTTGTCATATCACTTCCTGAAAGGATACTCAATCTCTTAATTTTTTTCTATTATTTTGTACTTTATGGAAAAATATTTAGGAAGATTATAGAAAGAAAATTTTTAGGAAGTAGCGTCTCTAGTTTTCCTAAAATTTATGTCAAACCCGGCATTATTTATTTTACATATAAAAAGATCATAACTTTTACTCTTTGTTAAAACTATATTAAAACAAAAGAGAAGCAACCCACTAAATAATAATTGATTAATTTCATTTGGAGGTCTTCTATGTTTAGTATGTTTATGGACTTTTTAAACACTGAGGATTCACTAATTTTTTTTTTTTTTTTTTTTGAGACAGGATCTTACTTTTTTGCCCAGGCTGGAGTGCAGTGATACAATCACAGCTCACTGCAACCTCAACCATCCAGGCTCAAGTGATCCTCTCACCTCAGCTACCAGACTAGCTGAGACTACGGGGGTGTGCCACCATGCCAGGCTAATTTTCGTATATATTTTTTTTTTGGTCTAACTGTGTTGCCCAGGCTGGTCATGAACTCCTAGGCTCAAGTGATCTGTCCACCTTAGCCTCCCAAAGTGTGGGATTACAGGCATGAGCCACCATGCCAGGCGAGAATTTGCTTTTAAATGAGAAAGACACAATACCTGCCTTCGGAAAGTTCCCTGTCAAATTTTAGAAATAAATAATTAAACAAAGTTTATAGGCATAATAAGTCATAATATTCTTGAAAAGATATGCAGAGGGTTCCAAAGGAGCACCAACCAACCAGAGGGGAAAATATGGGGGCAACAGAGAGGCAAGAGGTGATATGAGAGAGAAAGCCTGAGCTAGAACACAGAGCCAGGTCATGAATCTGAAGGCAGGAACAACTCTGTCAGCTGTGAGACATGAATTTGGAAGGCTGCTGGGAGAGAAAAGCAGAGATTAGTCGTGCAATTATCTACTTAAGATATTTTGGGCTGGAAGCAGTGGCTCACACCTGTAATTCCAGCACTTTGGGAGGCTGACGCGGGTGGATCACCTGAGGTCAGGAGTTCGAGATCAGCCTGGCCAACATGGCGAAACCCCATCTCTACTGAAAATACAAAAATTAACCAGGCGTGGTGGCAGATGCCTGTAATCCCAGCTACTCAGGAGGCTGAACTAGGAGAATCGCTTGAACCTGGGTGGCAGAGGCTGCTGTGAGCTGAGATTGCACCACGGCACTCCAGCCTGGGCAACAGAGCGAGACTCCATCTCAAAAAAAAAAATATATATATATATATTTTGAAGTCTAGAGATGAATTCCAGAAATAAGGTATACAGAAAGTGAAACTGTAGGACTTTGTGATTGACTAGAACTGAGGGACAAGGGAGAGGGAAAGGGAAGAGTTGAAGATGATGGAAACAATAGATTACAGGAAGAGGATCAAATTTAGGGGGAAGAAGATCAGATCATAATCAATACAACTTAATTCCACATGTTCTGAAAGTTAAATATCTCCTCTAGCCAAAAGACCCTTCCTATTTTACTTCTCTGGACCTCTTAATGTTTCTTTGATGTTTATTCCCCTGCACAAATAATTTAACCCCTTTACAGATCCAAAATTTTATAGTAGGCAAATATTGTAACCCCCTTGAAAATGTATGTTATGAATAGCCTTTGTAGGTGATATTTTTGCAGTTTGGTAACTTAGGACAAGGTCCATTTTCCTGTCCCTTGTTAAATGTCACAAGACTTCATCTTCTCTACCTATATATCACAAAGTACCTTCTGCTCTGCTGATCACAAGGTAATTAAGTTTTGGAGTGGAGGAGTGTCTTAGGTTTATGTTCATGCATTAAATATAAAGAAATCTATGATTTTTAAAAAATTAACTATATTGAGGTATAATTCACTTACAATCATATGCACTCATTTTAAATGTACATTTCTTGAGTTTTGATGCATTAATAAACCCATGTAACGACCACCACAATTGAGAAATCATATATCTTCATTATTTTCCCCAATTTTCCTTTGTGCCTTTTTCTAGTTAATTCCTTCTCCTTCTCCTCCACCTCCACCCCAGCCCCATGGGGGTAGCCATGAAGGTACACCTCTTGGATCTTTTCTCTCCAATTAGCTGCCAGGAGTGCTATTGGCCTCCTGCTGCAGCAGCAATGGGATCCACCACAGCACAGGAACCCAGACTGGCCTCCAGCCAATGACTGGGAGCAGCAAGGAAACTACAGCCCAGACATGTCTGCCTAATGCATGACTCCTCAACAAGTAACCTTTGTTGGAAGCCAAGACTTTCTTGTAACTGCACTGTAATCTGTGGCTATTCCTACCCAATTCTCCTTCCTTCTGCCTCCCTTTGAAGTGATATCACAACTACATTGTGGTTTTTCCTTGCCTGGTTTTTCTCCTGTTCTCTTTCTACCTTTCATAGCTATTGCCTGCAATAAATCTCTTGTGGATGGTTGTAATTCTAACACCATCTTGGAATCAGCTTCCTGAATGACTGAACTGATGCCTCTACCTCCAGCAAGCATGGATCTTGTTGTTACCATGGATGACATTTGTCTTTTCTGGAATTATAGTATGTACTGATTTGTGCCTGGCATCACACAGCATGATAGTTTTGAGATTCATCCATGTTGTTGAGGTTATCAGTAGTCCATTCCATTTTTGTTGCTAAGTAGTATTCTGCTGTATGAATACAGCACAATTGTTGATTGATTATTGTGTTGTTACCAGTTAGAGCTATTAAGAGTAATGCTATCGTGAATAATTCTGTACAAGTCATTGTATGAACATATGCTTCCATTAATCTTAAGTAAATACCTAGGGGTAGAACTTACAGATGAAGAAACAGAAGTACAGCATGTAAGTGACTTTGCACAAGTAGGCAGCACAGGTTTTCTGACTTTAAATCTATGCTCTTAACTCCTATGCCGTATTGTTCTTCATGGGAAGAAAAGCTATTTTTCTTGACCCATTTAAACTTTCCATAATGTTTAATCAAAATATTCAATATTTAAGTTAAAAACAGCAAAATCTGGGATACAAGGTGTACCAACCTCAAGTAAACATGCCAGGTGTTTGGAAAAGTAGAAGAATAATGAACCTTACTACATGCAAACTGTGCAATAGTTACATGTAGAATGCATCTCAAAAAAAAAAAGGTTCCTGGAAACCACAGTGCTATGAAAAGATAATCATAGAAAACAAGGATAAATTTGAATACCACATACTCATTTTAAGAAAAATTTTCACTGAGAGAAAAAATTTAAAGCAAGTTGATGGCATATAAACATCCTTGAAATTCTTCAAGTGAATACAAATTAGTTGAGTTAAGCATTCAGATAATTTGGGTCCTTCTCAGGTGGCCTAGCAAGTTAGTCAAAAGATAAGACCTGTAATCAAGCTGCCCTCTCTCATTACCGTCGTTAAACTGCATAGGTAGACATAATAATCGACTTGAATAATGTACCATCAAACAACATTAAATAGTCTATCAGATCACACTGCTTATAGTACACATTAACTACTCATATGCTTTACTATCTAAAGCAGGGTTGTCCAGTCTTTTGGCTTCCCTGGGCCATATTTGAAGAAGAATTAATTGTCTTGAGCCATGCATAAAATACACTAACACTCATGATAGCTGATGAGAAAAAAACAAAAACAAAACAAACAAAAAATTCATAATGTTTTAAGGAAGTTCACACATTTGTGTTGGATCTCATTCAAAACCATCCTGGGCCGCTTGTGGCCCATGGGCCACGGGTTAGACAAACTTGATCTAAAGCAATACCATCCATTATAATTATTCTGTGAGCCAATTATGTAATTTTAAATTTTCTAGCCACCACATTTAACAAATTAAAAAGAACCGGGTGAATTTTATATTTTATTTGATACAACTTATTCAAAATGTTATAGTTTCTACATGTAATCTATAAAAAAATTACTGAGAAATTTTATGGGTTTTTTTCATAATATGTCTTGAAATCTGTTGTGTATTTTACCCCTATATCTCAACTCAGGCTAGCTACTTTTGAAATGCTTGATAGCAACATGTGTCTAGTCACTATGGTATTGTACAGAGTAGGTGTAGAGATCAACAGGAAACATTTATTGAGTACCTATATAAGAAATTATACTAGATACCAGGGAAACCAAAAAGAAAAAAAGTCATCTGTAAGAAGTTTAGCAGGAGCAACACAGTGAACAGATTCCAGCAGAGATTATGGCAGAGATTACTGTGATCTTGGGCAAAAGTGTGTATCTTAGGAATTTAAGATTTAAGAAAGAATTTTAGGCATGAACTATATGACAAACATACATAAAGGCAGGAGAAGCCTGCTATGCTCTGGTGACAATGGATCAACCAGTATTAGAGAATTCACATGATAGATACTGAATTTCCTGGATGCTCAGTGGTTAGCTAAGTCTTAAGTTTATGAATGAACAAATGACACAAGATACAACATTAGAACGAGGATGGAGAAAAAATATAAAATCTTTAAAATATCAGTCAAACGACAAATTCCAGCTTCTTATGAATGAAGAGCCAGTTAAATACGTTTGAATGAAAAATGACGTGTGAAGTGATATATGTGGCAGTTAAAGTTAACCAGGAGAGAAAGCTAAACTACCGCTGCACAGGCTCAGCATCTATTGCACTAATCTAGGCATGAGTTGTGTCCTATCCAAACCTTCATAATGGAAGAGATGGGGGAGAGAATGAAAGAGAGATTGGAAAAAACAAGGATCCTAAAATCATCTTATGGCTAAATTTGAGAGGGAGGGAACTATGGAGGCATCAGTGATTTATATGGTTTATATTGTAGGTCATGGGAAGTCATAAGAAAAATTCTGGTGCCAATGGTGATAACTGATATGAAGGGACTCCTTGCTTGAAGGAAAAATTAAGTTAAACTGAGACCTGTTGAAATCAAAGTAGTAGTGTGATATCTAAATAAAAATGTGTAGCGTGCAAAGAGAAATATGAGAGTGTGTATCAGGCAAGAGATCTGGCTAGAAATGTAGGCAAAGGGATAAATAGTCATAAGACTATAAGGCATTGCGGAGGGAAGAGGAAAAGCTTGGAGAATGAGTCAGAAATCCACACAATAGATTAAAGATTTAAGTTGTGAGAAAGTTTTTATGGAGAGTGTTCTGGGGAATAAATTAGAGATTAATAAAAGAATAAAAAATCAACCAGGTAGAAAGGGCATGCATCCTGGTGTGTGCAAACATGTATAGCTGCATGAATGTCAAGTTTACTATCTTACGTGGCTATATCACTATGCAAACTATAGCCTTTCATAGTACGTAAGTGAAAGCATTAGAGGATTATCTGTGTAGTCCTAAAATCCTTTGTGAATACATCACATTGTCCTATTACATTCTTGCCCATGTTTTACATAACCAGACTGACTGTAATATGAGTATTGTGTGTGCCCTTTGTTAATAAATCCTTGTATAAACCCCACAAGGATTTCTCTAAAGACAAACCTGGCTTGCTAAATATTACTCACTCCAGGCTAAATTTTAATAAATTCCATAAAACACTATCAGATATATTCCTGAGACTTTTGTATTTTAAGTGCTGTCTTTTCCTATTTGGTATTTGCATTGGTTACTTTTGTGGGGTGTGCTGGTTTCTTCCTTCTTCCCCTTCAGACACTCCACCCCACTCCTGCACTGTGCCTGGAGAAGATGAATTGTACTGACTACACCACGGTTTTTCAACCTTGGCAGTAATGACATTTTTTAACTGGATACTTTGTTGTGGAAGGATGTCCTGTGCATTGTAGATGTTTAAAAAAATCCCTCAGTGAATCATAGTAGCACTCCACTCCTCTCCCTTCCTCCCCTGAGCTGTGATAACCACTAATGTTCCCTGGGAGCACAATTGGCCCTGGATTAGAACCACTGCTACATCAATGCACTCCTTTTGTCTACGCTGTGAGTTTGGCCAGTGGAAACACCACAAAGAGGAAACAGGGAGGGAGGAAAGTAAGGTCAGGTGATCCATTTTCCAGATATTGACTATTCTCGCCCTGCTAGGCCAGTGCAGGCAGGTGGTATCAGTCCAAAGATCACACAGCTCAAGTCAGGCAGCCGTCTTCACATAGGACTTGCTTGGTCATCTCTCCTTCCTTTCTCCCTCTTTTTCTGATAAATGGTAATCTCCCTGTTCATTTAGTTCATTTTGGCCTAGTGGTTATAACGGTGCTCGCTGTTGCCATCCTAAAGTATTGCACTATTCCGTGTGTTTTTCCTAACCCGGTCTAAACCTTCGTAATTAGTCCCTTTATAAAGTCTCCTCCAACTACCAAATTTGTGTGCACTGTTTGTTTTCAGCAGGAGTTATAATTGATATGATGTAAGTACATATCAAAGTATTTACAGAAAAGCAAAATTCCAAATATTGAGATGTTTTCTCTGTATTGGCCCCAATCATTGGAATGTTTTGTGCATACAACTTTATAATAATCACTGACACCTATATTATTTTCATACTTTGATTTGCTCAATGAATGCTAGTTATAAAAAACAAGATCATTTAAAATACTTCCTTGCCTTTATTATTCTCAGGTGAAATGGAGATATGAATTTATAATAAAGAGTGACAAGTTAGTGGAATTGTAAAATAACATTATACTCAAAAAAGAAGAATAGAGATTGTAAAGAAATGAGATTGAGTCCGTAAGTAATGTATAACTGTCTCAGTATTTCATTGTCATACCTTATAAGTAAGCAGGGAAGTACAAATAGATGTGTACTTATTAATTTAGTCTTTCAGTCACTCATTGAGTCAATCAATTCTTGAGGCCAATTGTTTTTGAAGGCACTGATTGTGCTAGATACTGTGGATGTTACAAAGGTGAATAAAATGTCTTAATCTGAGGAAGAATTTACAATCTACACAGGCATGAAAAAACAAGGAAGAGTGTAGGTGAAAGGGAAATTTGAATGTGAAATCACCAAGGTCACAAAGCATGTCTCCTCAGTGCTAGCGAAGGACTATATAATAGGCTCACAAAAATATTTGTTTAAAATGTAATTAAATGAAATTTGAAGAAAGCAGAAAATGTCTCACAATGCTATGTGGAAGTTATTAGAATAACACCCCCTTCCCAGTTCCTAATTGCATTCCTGGCATATCTTATGTACATTAATCTATAATTAAATGAAACATTAACTGCTTTATTAATGGCTACTTTAGAAGGAGTGCATTCATTAAGGATTATTTTGAAATACAAATAATTTCCCCATAAATCTTACATTCACATATTTGGATTCTGAGTTTTACCCAAGTGGCACACAACCATAATTTGTAGGACAGGTGAAATAAAGTTCCTACTATTCTGGTACTGTATCTAGACTGAGCTTTACATATTTTTAATAGCTTTTTTTTTTTTTTTTTGAGACAGAGCCTTGCTCTGTCACCCAGGCTGGAGTGCAGTGGCGTAATCTCACCCTACTGCAACCTCCACCTTCTGAGTTCAGGCGATTCTCATGCCTCAGTCTCCCGAGTAGTTGTGATTACAAGCATGAGCAACCGCATCTGTCTTTCTTTTCTTTCTTTCTTTCTTTCTTTCTTTTTCTTTCTTTCTTTCTCTCTTTCTGTTTCTTTCTTTCCTTCTTTCTTTCTCTCTTTCTCTTTCTTTCTTTTCTTCTTTCTTTCTTTCCTTTCTTTCTTTTATTTCTTCTGTTCTTTCTTTCTTTTCTTTCTTTCTTTTTTTTTTTTTGTATTTTTAGTAGAGACAGGATTTCACCATGTTGGCCAGGCTGGTCTCGAACTCCTGGCCTCAAGTGATCTGAGGGTCTTGACTTCCCAAAGTGCTGAGATTACTGGTATAAGCCATCACACCTGACCAATAGCTTGTATTTTTGAAAGAAGTTTTAGGTTTGTGGAATAATTGTACTGAGATTACAGTGCATTCCCATATACTCCATTACCCTTCCCCCAATTCCCCTATTATTATAATTTTGCATTAGTGTGGTACATTATTAAAACTTATGAAATAACATTGATACCTTATTACAACTAAAGTCCATAGTTTATATTAGAATTCACTCTGTATTGTAAAATTCTGAGTTTTAACAAAGGTATAAGGTCATGTATCCACCATGACAGTATCATAGAGAATAGTTTCACTGTCCTAAACATGCCATGTGCTTCACCCATTCATCCCTCTGCACTTTCTCAGAGCCCCAGGCAATCACTGATCTTTTTACTGTCTCCAGAATTTTGTCTCTTTCAGAATGTCATATATTGGAATCATATAGAATGCAACCTTTCAAACTGGCTTACGTACCTAAGTTTTCTCCATGTGTTTTTGTGGCTTGATAGCTCATTTCTTTTTATCACTGAATAATATTCCATTGAGTACATGTGCCAGTCTTTTTGTTCATTCACCTATTGAGGAACATCTTGGTTGCTTCCAAGTTTTGGCAATTATGAATAAAGCTGCTATAAACGTGCATGTGCAGGTTTTGGTGTGGACACAGTTTACATTTCCTTTGGGTGAATATCATGTAGCATGATTTTGGATCATATGGTGATATGGTTAGGCTTTGTGTCCCCACCCAAATCTCATCTTGAATTATAATCCCCATAATCCCCACATGTCAAGGGAGAGACCAGGTGGAGGTAACTAGATCATGAGAGCTGTTTCCCCCATGCTGTTCTCATGATAGCGAGTGAGTTCTCACGAGAGCTAATGGTTTTATGTGTTTGGTAGTTCCTCCTGCATTCATTCTCCTTCCTGTCACCTTGTGAAGTAGGTGCCTTGCTTCCCCTTCTCCTTCCACCATGATTATAAGCTTTCTGAGGCCTCCTCAGCCATGCTGAGCTGTGAGTCAATTAAATAAACCTCTTTCCTTTATAAATTTCCCAGTCTCGGGAACTTCTTTTTAGCACTGTGAAAATGGACAAATATATATGTTAAGTATAGTTTAGCTTCGTAAGAAATTGTCAACCTATCTTCCAAAGTTACTGTACCATTTTGTATTGCCAGCATTAGTGAATGAATGAAAGTTCTTGTTGCTCCACATCTCACCAGCATGCTGTGCTCTTGGTGTTTTGGATTTTAGTCATTTTAATAAGTGTTTTGTGAGCTTTACTGTTTGATAGCTGAGTTACAAACTGGCAAGTATCCAAGCAAAGAACAGAGAACTGGAGGTTTGCTTTTCTACCGAAGGAAATATGTTGAGAATACAGGAAAGTTTCACGCTAAATGTAAATAATTTTTTACAGTTAAACTAATAATGAGTGATTGAAAAAAGTTGACTTGTGACATACAAATGATACAAACCTTTCATTGTCCTCTCTTTCATGGGTATTAATATTTCATTTGATAAAGATTTAAGTACTAATGACTATCAGTATCTGTTGATTGCTAGCAATTTTGAGTAGAACACTTTTTCTGATATGTATGAATATATAGACAAGAATCATATGATACACCTGGATTGTGTAATAGCCTTTATGATGCAGTAAGGCAACCACTGAACTTGGAATCAGTGAATTACAATTTGTTTCTTCTGGGTCCCTCACTAGCCCTGTGACTTTGGTCTATTTGACTTCTGTGAGCCTCAAAAGTGCATTTGTAAAATGGAAATTAAATTTTTTTCTGCCCATCTTACTGTGAAGCTGTTGTAATAATAATATTGACAATAGCAATAATTATACTAATAAAAAGCAATTTACTGTGTATTTGAAATTATGCAAACAATTTGAAAATCATAGCACTATATAAAATGTAACGTCACATTAGTGTTGGAGTTTACAATTTGGCAGGGAAGCTGTACAACTAACCACGGCACAATTTGATAAGCAATAAACTTCCTTTAGAGTATACGGAGAAATGGGGAGGATTATAAATATTAAGCCCTTTTGTGCCAGGCTCTGGGACCACAATTATCCCATGTGATCTCCATCACACCTTGCAGATGTAAATTTTCTTATTCTTATTTTATACAGATGATGCAACTGAAGAACGAAGCAAGTTGTCCATGGTCACACAGCTAATAATGATAGTATTTTCCTATTCCTCATAGAAAACTGGAGACGGCCACATTATATATCCTTAACTACAGGGACCATTTCTAGAAATCAAATTTCTAGAATTCAAGCCACACCACATACAATATATTACCCCATAGCTTATTGATAATGCTAAAATATGGGATATCTTTGCATAGAGATCCTTAAATTGTGCTAGAATATGAGATCTTTTTGCATAGAGATCCTCTCGCATAGAGAATTCCTGCTACTCAAGAATCAATGTTAGACATTCACTCTGTGCTCACAGTGTTCTTTTCTCTTCTGTCAAAAAAAAAAAAACAAACAAAAAACAACCACCTTATTTTACTTGTGACCTTCAGTACCAAGTAAGACTGGATAGAATATCAAGATAAATTTGCGACAGATTTAGTGTCCTTTCTGTCGCATTATCATGGTTGCCCAGAAGTTAAGAGGTTTGGAATGATTCCAGTCTGATAAGGAGAACAAGACATTGAAGTAAGTGTCTGGAGTCTAAAATAGATCTGGGATAGCTATTACTTTAGCTTTTCTGAGATTTAATATGGGAATGAGGTGTAAAAGAAGAGTTGAAATAACTATTACACAGAGATGCTTGTTCCTTCTTCCTAAGGCCTAAGAACATTTCTCACTCATTCTTCTATCCTAGAATTCATAATGGTATATGGCACTGCACAGAAATTCATTAAATGTTAGTGAAATATTACATGTGAAAGAAGGTAGTAATGTAAATAGAACCTAATATAATTTTTTATGGGCTCATTTATGTTCTGCATTTTCTTATAAAATTACTTTTTAGATTGTTTTGCTGCTCGAATCATTACTGGTTGCTATCTAGGGATCACCTTCAAACCCCTTTCAAAATACAATGTTCAAAAAAAATAAAAACAAGGGCCTGGCACAATGGCTCACACCTGTATCCCAGCACTGTTGGGAGGCCGAGGCAGGAGAATTGCTTGAGCCCAGGAGTTCGAGGCCAGCCTGGGCAACATAGAGAGACGCTATCTCTATAATAAATAAATAAATAAATATTTTTGGAAAAACAAATGCTGTTAAAATGCATTTCTAGCTTAGGTCACATAAAGGATCTGAAATGGGCATGTAAACAATGGCAAGTTTTTATATATATCAATTAACAGGTCTTGAAAAAAGTATTGACTCTACTGGCTTGTGTGAAATTTCCCTGAATGAAATCAGACAATGGTGTTCTCAGAAACAATGCATCTTAGAAGAGTTAATATCAGCCAAAGACATTATATCATACTAACTTCTCTCCCAATAAAATGCCTAGAAAACAATGTATCTCTAACAAGAAAAAGTTCAATGCTGTGTTAACTGGCAATTCCATTTAAAATATTTTCAAACACATTCCCTAAGGTAACAAATATAATTATTAAAAGCCTAATAAATCTTTTAATAATCCAGAAAGAAACATTTAGAAGACATTAAGAAAGACATATTCAGAATTCAGACAGAAGCTCATAAAAGCTAACATAAAAAGCAGGTTAAAAATCAATTTCTACAAGAAAAATATAGACATATAATCAAACAAAAGGGGGAAATACATAACAAACACTAGACGAATGCAAATTTTCAAAGCTATATTTTACCAAATTTTAAAAGTTAACTTTAAAAGAAGAATTAACCTTGGTGGCAGCAAAATCCATGTCTGTGTGTCTGGCTGATTTGGGTTCAATTAAAATCTTGGGTAGAGAACACTTAAGTGAAAATATAGGGCAAAAATAATTCCATACAAAATATAATGAATAAATAGAGCAAAATTTCGCATATAACCAAATTCCAACATTTTAAGGAAGGTATTAATTTCAAGCTAATATCCAAATTTGTCTGGTAAGAAAAAGGTGAGCATGATCCCTATGATAGTGGTTGCCATTACTTCTACTTTTGTGAGGCAGAATAGGTGGGACAGCTCTAGGGCTCTTCTGATTTTATTCTATCAATTATAAGAGGTCTGAGAACAGGAAATGAAAAAAGCTATGACCCTCAAGCCATCTAGCTCAAACGATTTCACTGGCATCTAGGATCTGATATATTTTGGATTGGGGAAGAGTAAACACAGGCAAAATTTGCATTGGATGTGAAGCTAATGGCCCTTCCACATAATTTTGCTGTAGGATATCAATTGATTCCCTGTTTCAGAGGAAGGATTGTTAAGCTAAAATGGTTTCAACCAGATCAAACATTAAAGTAAGCAGAGTTTTTCAGTAGATTTGACTAGATTCTTCATTTACTATAAAGATCTGCCACACCCGAAATACCACCTGAAATTAGTTTTCTAGTTAAATCAGTATAGACTATGGATAAAAGAAGTTACGAAGACAACCCTCTTAATCTTGATCAATATTCAGAGATGACTACTCCCCATCACAAAAGCTAATTCGTTTTTCACATTTTTCTCTGCTCCTAATGAAATCTTTTTTGCTGAAGTTTCTGAAGAAATAAATAAAGAAGCCTGGTGCCTCTCAGAGTTCCACACAGCTGATGAGTCTAGGCAGTGACAAATGACACTATATTCCTCAGCGTGCAACCTTTCTCTCCCTCTCATCTTCTTGCAATGGAACACTGCTACATTCCTTGCAGAGGAAACGTACTGTACATTTCATAGCTGTCACCTTGGCATAAAAGGCAGAGGGAGGGGGAAATTCTTCTTTTGGTCTGCCTAAACATTTTACTTTATTTTTTATATATCAATAACCATGAGAAACTATTGAGTAAGTTTAGATATAAAACAGAGAACTTTGTTTTGGAAGGCATTACTTTTCAAAGGAAATGCATCGTGGAGAGTGAGGAGTGAAGGGTCAATGTTTTCAAGAGCGATCGGAAGCTCCCTGCCTTGATATTCCTAATCTTCTTTCTGGCATCTTATGCTCACCAACTGCCTAATAGTGGATGCATGTGGTTCTGCCCATCTGTCCAATTGCCATTCTAAATTATGTGGTTTACTAAGAAAATACTTAACATTATATGAATAATGTATAATTAATTATAAGTAGTTTTTAAATCTTCAAGATTTATCTCATGAGTGAAATGGTTGCTTTGTTCTTAAGGAGAAAATTAATTTATTTCCCACGTATCCATGTACAATAAGTAGTGCTGTTATAAACATATAAGAAAATGAGCTATCATGATAAGTATACAGCATAGAGTTAAGTTTATTAGAATACCCTCATATTCTATAATATACAAAATTACTAACGTGCAGTGAAATCATATAGAATTCTGAAGTAGTGAATTGTTTCCTTACTGTTTAACACATTCTTGCAGTTTGTCTTTTTAAAATTAAAATCAGGAATTCTGGGCAGTTAGTTGTTTTTGAAGACAATGTCATTTATCTTTGCTTTAAGAAGGAAACAGTCTACATTTAACAAACAATTCATTTTCTACATATTAATTGAGCAGTGAAAATATGGTTGGCAGGTCTGAAGAACAGGGAAAAAGACAGTGTAGTTAGAGTGTAGTTGGAGGGTGGCATACAAGGAGAAAAGGGATAGGAAGTAAGAAGTTACTGAGGTCCAGATAATGTAGGGCCTTTAAAACACAGTAAAGATTTGCATTTCATTCTATGTATGATAAGAGGTCACTGGATGGTTGGGAGCAGAGGGGGATGTGATCTGGTTTCTTTCTTAAAAGAATTATTCCGACTGCTCAAGAATGGACTAGGTTGGGTGTCTAAGTGGAAGCAGGCAGATCAGTTCAGAGGTTAGGGAAGGAGTCCAGGTGAGAAATGATGAAGGCCTAGCCTAGGGTGGTAACAGTAGAGAAGGGAGACATGGTAAGACTGGGGATACATTTTGAATTACAGTGTAGGTAAAATTATTAGCTTAAGGGTTAGATATAAAAGGTATGAAAGGAAAAGGATCAAGGATATGTATGGTATATCTGCAAATGCTAGGAGACCAAAGTGAAATTTCACATAGTGAAATTACTGTGTTTCAGCAGTTAGGGATAACTTTTTGGAGTTCTGGAGGCTTGGGCTGGACTTTTTTGCATGGATAAAATTCAGACAGGAGACATAAAAGCCTTCTTAGTGGTAAGACAGTTATTAGATAATTGGGAAGTATTTTGAAGATACTTGTCTACCTAGAATGAAGAATTTTGTTGAGTATTTGAGAGCTATATGGCTGAAAAGAAAGAGGCCAGATAAAACAAGGCCCTGAGTAACAAGAGTAGGCCTTGGGCCTTGATTCTATAGAGAGTGCAAAACCACTGGCTAATTTTTTGTAACTAATCTGGCTAGAAATTTCCAGATTTCCAGCACACTATATTAAAGGAAGTACTGCCAAAAAACATTTCATGGATTCCAAAAATAGAGATCAATGTAGATGAATTTATAAGATGAATGAACTCTGGGAAGACCAAGCAGATTTCTGAAACAACACTACCATATATTTCATTATATACACACACAGCTACACACACACACACACACACACACACACACACACACCATACCCTGAACATACCCTACACCCTACATAATACTTATATATACACGTTAGTGCTCTGCAGTTAATTTTTATAAAGGCACCAATTAGTTTCTAATAAGAAAAAGAAATGTGTAAAGAAGAGAAGAAATTTCATTCTCTCCATGAAGAATAAAAAACACAAATATTTGTTAGCTGTAACAAATATACATTTTTTTCTCAAATCATTTCATGATATTTATCACATGAAAAATGGGTACTTTGGGGAGATTTTCTCCTAAAGCCTTCATTTTTTCATATATAGTGAGATCTAAACAACCAATTTCTATTTACAGTTGAATTCTACTTCCAAAAACATACAACTATGACTCAATCCTTGTTACCTTTCAATAAACTGTTAAGCCCAAAGATATAACTTATTTTAAAATGTGAACCTAGACATTTGGGATGATCAGGCATGCTAGTTACTATTAAGAATAGCAGTATGTACTAATAAAATGGTATTCAGAGATTATAAGGGAAGCACTAATGAATAAAAATGACCCAAACTATATATAAAGTCTTTGTTCATACACAAAATAAACACATGCACTATGGATGGGGTTCTCTAACGACAGTAGAAGTAAACGGGCAGCTAAAGAGTGTATCAAAAACTGCACTTTTACAGTTTCCTATATATCGTCAGACAGGTTAACAAAAGTATCGAAAAGTTGGCATACTGTGGATAAAGTACATTAAAATGAGAAAGGCAAAGTTTTAAGGATATATGAAAATGAAAGGATGGCAACTAGTATGGTCGAAATTCATGTGATAAATCGTAATAACCAACGTGATAGTATTAAGTGGTGGGGCCTTGCAGAGGTAATAAAGTCACGGGGGCAGAGCCCTGACAAGTGGAATTGGTAACATTATGAAAGGCCTTGAGGGAGTGAGTTGGCCCTTTCTATCTCTCTACCATGTGAGAACACAGCATTTGGCCCTCTGGAGGATACAGTGACAAGACACCATCTTGGGAGTAGAGAACCGGCCCTCGCCAGATACTGAACCTGAAGACAAATGCCTTGATCTTGGAGTTCCCAGCCTCCAGAGCTATGAGAAATAAATTTCTGTTGTTTGTAAATTACCCAGTCTCATGTATTTTGTTATAACAGCACAAACAGATTAAGACAACAGCTTTCTCAGAGCCCAAAACATTTATAATAGTAAGAATTTGCAAAATCAAACAATGAGTAAGGCCTCAAATGATCAGCTGTACTTGCTAAAAATGAAAGAACAACTAAATCACTCAATTCACTTGGGCAAGACAATCCATTATTCGTCTAAAATTTTTGTTAATAATTTTCTGATTTACTATCTAATAGTACTGGATACCATACAACCAATTACTCCTACAAATTTTTTTGTTAATAGTTCTCTGTTTTGCTTTTTAATAATACTGGATACCAATACTGGATATCCAAAATGGTTTGATAGTTGGGAACAAAGGGGATAAAGGAAAGAAATGTACTATAACCAGAGATTTTTGAAAAATAATGAGACTGTATGTACTATGATACTTCACTCAGAAAACCTCACTTCAAACTTAATGGGAAGAGAAAAAGATTGGGGAAGAAGTCTTCAAGCACAGTCCATAATATTGATAGATAGACTCCTACACATATTAATGGTTGACAGCTAGATG
This sequence comes from Homo sapiens, assembly GCF_000001405.40. Lineage (NCBI taxonomy): Eukaryota > Metazoa > Chordata > Mammalia > Primates > Hominidae > Homo > Homo sapiens. The sequence continues at coordinate 89,811,190 of NC_000004.12, forward strand.
TCAATGCCTAGAGCACAACAAATAGGTCTTATATATCACTATATTTTTTATGATGCTTGGCATTGTATTTTTTTTGTTTGTTTTTGAGACGGAGTCTTGCTCTGTCACCCAGGCTGGAGTGTATTGGCATGATCTCAGCTCACTGCAAACTCCATCTCCTGGGTTCGAGCGATTCTCCTGGTTCAGCCTCCTAAGTAGCTGGGATTAGAGTCGTCTGCCACCATGCCTGGCTAATTTTTGTATTTTTAGTAGAGACAGGGTTTTTCCACGTTGGCCAGGCTGGTCTCAAACACCTGACTTCAGGTGATCCACCCGCCTTGGCCTCCCAAAGTCCTGGAATTACAGGCGTGAGCCACCGCACCAGGCTGGTGTAGTATTTTATACACAGCATGCATCAACAAAATGGATCAGATGGATGGGTGGACAAATGGATAATTGAAAGAATAAATAGCAGAAATGATAACTCTAACTTTTAAGAGTCTATCAAGCTAAAATGACTTTTGAATCAGTCGAATGAATGTACGTGGGAACTGGGAACTTAAGAAAGAGAAGGAGCATAAATTGCAATTGTGGCTAAAGCAGCAGAATGCTTATTTACATAAGTTTTAACCAGTGCGGAATATTGTAATTACCATTTATGTTGTTTTTTTATGAATCCAGTACATGCTTATTAAAGGGAATTGGAGAAAATAAAAATAAGAAAGGAACGCAATAATCCAGACTGTAATCTAGGACCCAGTAATAGTTACTTAGTTGCAAAATTTCCTCAAGGGCAATATGAGAGAGACCATTTTGTGCTTGTTGCCATGCTGGGGGTGCCTACTGGCGTTAAAGAGGTAAGGCCCAGGGCTTGTAAACATCCTACAATGAATGAGAGTTCTCCACAGCGAAGAATTACCCAGCCCAAAATGCAAAATGGGCTTCACTGAGAAAAACTGAGTACCTTGTGCATTTATTCCACGTCTTTATATGTACATAAGCCACATACAGGTTTTTAAAAAATAAAAATATTATGCTGCACAAACTGCTTTGTAATTTGTTCTTTTCACATACTGCAACAATAGCATCCTTCCACACCATTAATAATTATTCTACAACATTTTAATGGCTGTTCAGCAAACCACTGCATGGATCAACCATAATGCATTTAATGAGGTCCCTATGATCAAACTTCTAGCACTATTTTTTTCAATTTTGTTTTATAATCAATTCTGTGATAAACATCTTCATATTTAAACTTATGATCATATTTAAATTCTTAGACATGCGACTGGTCAGAGCATGCATAATTTCAATGCTTTTGATAGACTTCCAACATGTCCTCAAAAATGACTTTTATTAGTTTATTCTCTAACCATATTGTTCTGATTGATGGACATCTCTAACATAAAGTTGCTGAAAATATGAAACATCAGCTGAGGCACTGTGACCCTGGGAACTGGCTGGTCCCTTCCTAGCCCACATCTTAGTAGAAGATGCAAGGGTTATTGTGGAATACGTCCGCGGGTTAAAAACCATGTATCAATTCTAAATTCCAAGTGCCAGACCCTTTCATTACCTTTCATTAGCGAAGTATAAAAAGAAAGAGGGAGAAGGGATTTTCAAGGAAAGTAATAAGAAGGGAAGTATTAGTGGAACATTAGAGTTTGTCTCTGGTCCTTCCTCTGAGTGGGGACTCATGAGGCTTGGTGTTGTCTGAAAGCAGGAAGGACTTGGGTCTTACTCCCTGGTAGGATGCAGCCTGAGGAGCAAGGCCGGCAGTCACAGTGTGAGCAAACATTCATACAGACGTGGGGGCTGACATATCAAGTTGGAGAATGTATGCTCACTTCCTGTCACCCCCATACACCCTGATTCCCAAGAGTTGAGGCAGTTGTGGTAGGGGTTCTTAGGTTTCCCATGGGCTCAGATTAGGCCTCGGACGGAAGTGAAGGCAGTGGCTGGCTGGGTGAAATATGGCGGACAGAGTCGGTGAGTAACAGGAGAGCATGTTATCCCTTTTAGACCCCTGAAGTATTAGAGAGGATCAGCCAGGCACGTTTAGACCATATGATGTATCATATTGTAGATTCACCCCAAGGCATTTGTGGCTGTGCAGTAAAAGTGCAGGATGAAACCAGACTCTCTGAAGGGTAGGGATATTCCCGTCCCTATCCCTCATCTTTTCCCCCTTTGCAGATAAACCATCCCACTTTCAAATGAACTTGGGAGGAGGGGGCTTTGAACTGTGCTTGGGGTTGTTTCTCCTCTGGAAATGCTTCCATTCTAAAAAGTTCTGGCATAGGGAATTGGCCTAAGGAAAAACTCTGCCCTCCTTCCCCTTAATGGACTGTCCTGCCTTTGAGTGTGAGTAAAAGGGGCTGAGATCATTCATCAGCCAATTTTACAGCTGCAATCTACTTAGACCTGCCCCCATCTAGGTCACCAAGGATCTTTGTCAGCATTTGGTACAAAGCCTATGTGAATGAAGATGGTCATTTCTTTGGTGTTGTCCCAAGAAATGTAACAGAAAATGACTATAAAAGAATGGATTCTGATATGGGATGCTGAGTCCTGATAATCTCTCTAAATGTCTTTCATCTAGGACCTGCAATCAGCCATTATTAAGAAAAAGAGAAAAGGATTGCAGGGGACAGTTCCAATTAACCTGTGGCATCCCAAATCTGTGTTTTACTGAACACCTAGAACTATTCTCCATGGGTTTGGCGTCAAAGAGGCATTAGGAAAGATGGTAACTATTCCTCTTACATACAATATTAAGGCCTTTGAGATTTGCTTCAGCTTAACAGAGATACTTTTAAACTTTGTTAATTTAAATGTTTCCCAAAATTATTTGAGCAGAGAATCCATTCTAATTATACCATGTGCATAATACTCAATGGAATCACATGACTTTGGGGAAATCAGAGGAAAACTAATAGTGATTACATTTTATTTAGCTAAATAAAACGGCATGTTCAGTGATGCTTTTCCCTCTTTGTGTTATACAATTTACTTACTTAATATCATCAAACTACAAAGGAATATGGAAAAGATTTTCTGTGATCATGTATCGACACACTTCTTAGAGAAAATGTAAGTTCTTGGCAAAATATTACAACTGTATAATGCACTACAATTTTTAAAAATCTTTTGTCTGCATTATCTTATTTCATTCACACTCCAACCCTGGGCAGTTGGCTGGCCAGTTACAGATGAGTAGCTATGGTTTAGAAAGGTTACATGAGTTGCCAGGGATCTGGCAACGCATAATTGAATACATTGTCTTAAGATTCAAGCTATTAAACACAGACTGAAAGCATTTTGAACTCATTTAATTCAACATTTTTATTTCACAGATAAGAAAACTCATGCTTAGAGAGGGGAGATGACATCATCCAGTAGAGTGAGAGAGAGAAGACCAACTCTCTGTTCCCTGAATTCAAGCCCATGCCCTCCACACCATGCCATGTTTTCCCTGTATATGACCAAACAAAATGGTGCAGTTAAACCACGAGCCGTCATGCACAGGAGGGCCAGCTGGCCATCATGCTGGATCAAACAGCAGATATAGACCATCTCTAGCAGAACACTTGTGAATTGCCTTTGTTTCAAACTCATAAATGTTAGTATACCTTTGTAGGAGGACTACCATGAAAGATGAATTGCCACTATAAGCAGTCATTAGTATTTAGTGGAGATTAACTTTTAAAGGTGCCTACTTTAGATATGTCATAATATTAGAAATTAAGGATGAAGTATTTCTATCTATCTATGCTTTGTAGGACAATTATATTAATCCCAAAGTTACCTGACATAAGTAGGAAGCACATGCCTCTTCTGATATATAGCAAATAATATATACTCAATCCACTGAGCAAAAATTGGAACCTCAAGGCAAAGCTGTATGTACAACCTCAGAAAATCTGTGTGGCATGAAATACCGTAACGTACACTGAAAGGGCAATTTTCGATTTTTGTGAGGATTCCCAATAGCCAAATAGAAAAAAAGTGTGTATACATGTGAATTGGAGATGACTTGATATTAAGGATTGTCAGACTTATGTCACCCCATTGTAAGCATAGATAGTTAAAATCTATTTGATTTCATTAAATTAAAAGTGTACATTATTCATCACAATCCATAATGTAACTGAATTCATTCCTATGAACTGAATTCCAATTAGATTTATCATATTGTTGTTGTGAACACCAGAGAAAAGTAGGACAGTCCCACATCTAAGCAGGAAGATAAAATATATATCCGTTCTTTATTTCCATTTTTTCACTTACTTGTTCAATAAATAATCTATTTATTCAACAAGCATAATTTCTGGCTCAGTATTCTTTGCATTAGTATTCACTATGACATTAATAAGAATTAAATGCTACTTTGGAATTTTCACAAGTAACTGCTTAGTGATTCCAGAATCACCTGGTAGAAGGGGATATTTAAATTGCAACTTAAAAATCCAAATGTTGTTAAAAGTTTTAATAAAATTTCTTATAAAAATTACTTCATATACGAGTTGACAAATTGTTCATTTTCTCCTTGTAGAAGAACAATTAAATTGATGAGATGTATCATCTAACTCTCATACACGTAATTATATATTTGCATGACAAATACAATTGGCATCTCATTTACCTCATTTCTGTACCCTTGAATATCACGTAAACATATTTTGTCCTGATTTTTAAATACTTTGAATAGTTTGAGAACCAAAAGACCTCTTTTGACAATTTCCTCTTGATAAAGCAAATAGCATCATCAATGTCTCCCTAAAACTTAAAAGCTAACAGCCTATGCTTGAAGGGGCAGAAAAGTCAAGTTATTTCTTACTTTTTAGGGACAAACAGGTTGTTTATCATTGTAGTTGGAGACAAGATATATGGAATAATATATAAACACATCTTATCCTATTTATGCCCGTCACCTAAACATATAAGTGCTATTTTTCCAAGTTTATTATCAAATTACAAAGTGGAAATATGGCTCAGATGGTAGTAGAGGTAAAAACAAACCTAAGTCATGTAAGATGAGTAAGTCTAAAGATCTAATGTACAACATGAAGATTATTGTTAATAATATTGTAGTGCATACTGGTAATTTTTCAAGAAAGTAGATTTTAGGCACTGATAGTAAAAAAGCAAAGATAACCATATGATGATGGGTATGTTAATTTGCTTCAATGTAGGAATCACTTTTATATACGTGTGTATATTATATATATATATAAATAAAGATAAGTATCTCAAAACATCATGCTGTACAACTTAAATGTATACAATTAAAAATAATTTTACAATACAACTAAGTTTGAAGTCATCCTACATTTAACAGTATCTCATTAATGAAACCAGCAAAATTATCATGCCATCTTTGCAAGTGAAGGAATACTAACAATAGACGTTAGCACATGCACAGTAAAAATGGGTTCACAGAAGTGTGGTCATTGCTCTCACGTTGCAGTCCACAGAATTTTAAGCTATGTTAAACATTTATGAAGGAACAAGGGAAGTGCACAAATATGATTTAAACCTATTTGTTGGTGTAACGTGATGCAGTTCTATCCCACTCATCCTATAATACATTTCTTTGACAAACAAAACTATCATCGCAATCAGTTCTTTGAATATTAAAATTGGATGTATAGTCATGCATATGTTGTGGGATTGTAATGCTTACAGACTATTAACCACTGATCCTAAGATTTGGGTGGAAGTATTTGTCTCTATATCTAAGCAGCTAAAATATCATGGCTACTATCTGTGCGTGTATGTGAGGTAATTTCAGTCTACTGACAAAAACACAATTTAATGTATGATATTTATTGAGAGCATCAGCCTCTCTCATTTCTAAGATAAATCTCTTTTTTTCCATGATGGATATATACTTGTAACAAACCATATTGTTCTCAGAGACCACAGCTGCTCCCTTTTTCCCAGGGTAAATATGTCAGTCTCCCGGCCTGAACTGCCCATTTCTTGAAGGCAGGAGCCACCCATATGTTACTCAGTTTTGTATTTCTCATGGTGCCCAGCTGAGTGTCTGGCACATATTAAGTACTCAGTTAATGATTTTTAATGAAAACATAGCAGTAAGCCTATTTTCCTTATAATTTTATACATAATTACAGAGTACTTTCCCACCTAGAACCTTACAGGATTAAGGGTCATTAGAATTCACTATTCATCCATCTTGAACCCAGTGAAATTTTGTCAGATACAAAGAAAGGCCATAATAATTGTGTTTCTAAGTGGGGACAGTTTATGTACCATTAGTGGGCTCTCATATGAGTGAGAAATACCAACTTTTACATACCACATTGCAAAATGTCACTGTTACATACCTTTAGAAACAAATCAATCTTAAATTTTTCTTTAATAATCACAGTATGCTTTAATCTAAGATTATAGTGCCAGTAATAGTATATGCCACTCGAAACACAAATACAAATCAGGCAATTCATTGTGTCTCAAAGCTTTTAATTTAGGTCTAAATATACCTAATAGTCATCTGGTTATCTTCTGAAGTCAAGCACAAGGACAAGAACCAAACTTTTAATTATTTGAGGCAATGTATTATATTAACAATTATTAGACACTTAAGGGGAAAGCTTACTATAAATTAAAATATTTCTCCAGTCCTGACATCTCTTATTACTACCTTGTTATAAAATTATTTTAAGATTATGCCTGTGACCTGTGTGTGCTTCTTCAAAGAAATCTGAAATGTTGCCTGTGACCTGTGCTTGTTTGTGAAATCAACATTAAATGATTCAGCTGATGGCAACATACATCATCTGATTAATCATTTAATCAGAGGGTCCATAACACTCAAGTGTTTAAAAATAAATTTTCATGAAGCCCAACATGACAGCCATAGTAAGTCAAAGGAAATGAGTAAAAGGATACTTAGATATTATATTCACAATGTCAAACCTGACATTTTAAAACCTGCTTTTTTTTTATTCATCTAGCACACAACTGGCTAGCTATCCTTTTATGAATTAAGTCAGGATTATTACAGAATATACACGTGTCAATCCATTTGAAATCAAGATTTAAAAAAAGTTGTTCATAATATATTGATGTAATTTTTCCAAAATGGCATTGCTTAGGAACTTCATTCTGATTTTGAACAACAATAAATAACATCGCTGAACCTGGATGTTTTAAGTATCCAAGGCAACAGACATTTCAAGCTTATTTCTTGCGTGAAAACTATTAATCATCATGTAGATAAGTCGTGTCTCAATGGGATATGATAACGAAGCTGACTGCTGTATTATTTGTCAGGCAGTGGCTTCACAGTTTATTCAGGACTTTTGCTCTCTAAAACTCCAGAAAATTACAAAAATATAAAAACTTCAGGATCCAACTCTTTTAGAGCATTCCATGTGGCATGAAAGAGATGCTCATTAGTTCAGCAAGGATTTATTTGAGCACCAGCCACAAGCAAGACACTGTTGAGGAGCTGGGATAGACCAAGTGTTCTAGTGGCTACTCCACACTGCACGCATAGTAGCATTACAGAATAACGCTGATTCAAGTCACTTTCTTTGTACAATATTCTTAGAACAAGCAGATCTTTCTTCTTCAATAGAAGTAGGAAATATAAATTTTCTCTATATAACATCACTGTTGCTTTGCACTTAAAATTTCTGCCTGTGCACTTTTAACCTGTTTCTACTCTGCCAATGAAAGGTATGAACTTCAAGAAATGAATTGTATGACTGATAACTTCTTATGTGCACATGAGTAAAAATATGGATCAAAAGATCTATTATTCTAATGTACTAAACACAAGAGTTAATATTGTTCTGTAAAACAAAATCTTATAATTCAAGATAACTCATTTGTCCTTTAACTAGTCTTATACTTAGAAATTATTACTAAGGGCAGCTACATTCATATGATCAAATTAACAAAACAGGTATCTGCTTTGATTTACTCTCGATTTATTGGTTGTTCAGAATTATGTCATTTAATTTCCACCTATTTGTGAAGGGAGAGGGAACTTTCCCTCCCTCATCAACTAGAGGGTGATGGACCAGATACCCTCAAAGGGCATGAAAGGTGAAAACCGGTGCCATTACTCCCTTTCAGTGTTCCTGATCTTAAAAGCAGAGCCATTAATCCACTTCTACAAGCTAGACATCCAGTACCCCTACTTGTCACATCCCTCTTCCTCCAAGTTTCTGGCACAGTGTGAGCAAACATTCTTTCTTGAATGATGAATGAGTGTCTCAATGCAGTCATTAATAAGCATTTCAAGCAAAAAGAGTTTGCTTATTTCTATTTACCAGGGTCATTTTGATCAAAGTTTAAAAAATGAAATAAATTATTTCAAAGTTCATAATGAACAAATTAAATACTTTCATTGAAACCATCCAGATTTTTTAGCATCCCATAGATGTGACCACAATTGCAGACATTTATTAGAGTATTCTTTGAATTATTATAGAAACTCAGAACTTTATTGCTAAATTAGACTTCAACAATTTTCTAGTAGAGCTTCCTCATTTTATGAGAAAGACTTTTAGGAGATCTGCGAAAGGTTATCCAGTCAGGTGGTGTATGAGCAGAGAGGAAGACTAGCCATTTTCACTCTCAGTCCAATGTTTATTTCCACAACTATGCTGCAATTTCTAGGTTCTATGGCTTCATTTTCATATTAGAAATCAGTAAGAAACTATACTACCTATAAGGGAAATATCTCCAAATGATTAATTTTGTCACATCACTTAGATTTCTGCTTTAAATATTAAAATAAATAGAAGTATTTTTAGATGGGTGGAAAGCAAACCCAGTTTTGTAAAAGATTAAGCACTTTCATGCTCCATTTGCAATTTATATTGTATGCCTTAAATGCAGGTGAATAAAAGACGGTACATGTTTCCCTGTTGCTTAATATTCTGAAGCAATAAAATCCTCTAGTTAAATCTAGTTGTCCATAACTGAATGTATAAAGACCCAAAGGAAGGTAAGTTTTGAGGAAGTGCTTGGGGAAGTGATATAGTGGCTGGAAAAGTACTACTGGTGTCCAGTCTATTCCAAATGACTGTGCAATCTTGGACTACCCACTTCCTCTGTAGATTTCTGTTTCCTCATCTCTACAATCAGAAGATTGATCTGAACAGAGGGTCTGTCAATGGACTTCCCATTAAGCTCTTTGATGTGCGTATGTGAGTGCGCATTTTTCTGAAGCTAAGAGGGTCTATAGCTTCTATTAGCCCGTGAAAAGGGTCGGAGACACAAAACTGATTAATTGCCTGTGTACTAATTTAATCTGAGGTCCCTCTTAACTTGTGAAATCTTACGAAGCTATAAATAGAATTAAAATTTTAGATGGAAACCAGGAATTAATATAATTATTATCCCTAATAAGATTATTTGAAAAGCATATTTTGTACAAAGGGGTACCACCATGACCAACCATGCATTCAAACATTAGCTGAAGAACTTCACTAGAAGCCCAGTAAGGATTTGCCATCATTAGCATCCATTGCACCAGACACTAGACATGTAAGTACATGTAGTAAATCTAAATATATCACAGATATTTTTGTTCTGCCTTTTTATTATCAGAGTTTTAATGGGCTATCAAGGTAAGGCTGCTACTTAGGATTACATGAAGTGGAAACAACCCAGAATAGTTTGCCAGCAAATAAAACTTCTTTCTCACAATTTTCAAGATATTCATCCAAAATCATTTTGATTGTAACTTTTGGATAGCTGAATAGCACTGTTCTTATACTAAGCATATGATTATAAAAGACCCAGAAATGAAAGTTGTTGTGCTTACTCACTTCCTTCCCTCCTTAATTTAATAAATGTTTGTTAATTGTCTACTGTAAGTTGGAAACTCTCCCAGACACTTGTGAAATATCAATGAACAAAATAAATATATTTCACTCTCATGGTGCCTACATTCTAGAAGGGAGAAATAAAATAAAAATCATACATTAAAGTAAGCACATTATGTATTATATTTAAAGGTGAATAACACTTTGGCAAAGAAAGGAAAAAGAAAGAAAAGGAAAGAAGGAAGGAAGGAAGCAAGAAAGAAAAAAGAGAAAGAAAGAAAGGGAGGAAGGAAGGGAGGGAGAGAGGGAGGAAGGAAGGAAGGGAGAAAGGAAGGAAGGAAGGGAAAAGAAAGAAAGGAAAGAGAGAAAGAAGGAAAGAAAGAAAGAAAAAGAAAAAGAAAGAAAGAAGGAAAAAAAGTAGGGAGACTGGGAATACCAGAGGTGAGAAGAATGGCTCCAATTTTATATAGATTAGGGCAGGCCTCCCCAAGAACGTGTCAGGGCAAGGGTATGCTTGATTTATTCAAGAAATAGCAAGGAGGTCATTGTGGCAGGGAAAAAGCAAAAATTATTTTGCTGTTGTAGTGGTGATGTTTGTGAAACTTCAACGTTGTTGACACCTCATACTGTATTAGTTCCATATTTAAAATGAAAGTTATAATATCTTTGGTATAATCTTATTCGTGTCCCATGTTTGTCAAAAAAATTCAGTCAAAATTCTTCTCAGAATTTTAAAATCTACCTCAAAACTATATCTCTGGTTGGTATGTATTTTAAGTCTCTCATTTCCCACAAATATGTATTTGGCAATGAACTGTTATGTAATATGCAGATATGCCATTTAATAAGAGATGATGTCACTATAAAGAAATAAGTAAAAGAACTTTATTTTGGAAATTAGGAAATTAGGCACAAAGGGATTTGTTACTCCAAGGAAGAGAAATTCCAAGACTTACAATTAACATGAAAGCCCTCATTCTTTCTGAAATGTCACTGTTCCTTTGGCATTTTACTACATTTTTTGTTTCATTAACTTTCTTCCAGAAATTGAAACAATCATAATAATTATAAAATTTGCATGGCATTTATCTGGGTTAATGCCTGAAACAAGCAAGACCAATATAAAGGTAGCACTTTTTCACAAGGGGAGGGTCAGGTAGCCGTTCCCCACAGTAAGTATCTTGCTCCTGCCTCCAGGCCTCACATGAAAATGAACCGTAATCTCACCAGCTTATAAATGTAACACAAAACGTACACAGCCATACCTTGCCCAACTGGTCCTTTTTGACAAAGCCAGTGGCTGCTGCAATGCTCCCTGCTCCCTCCACTGTCTTCTGGGCTACTGCTGTCACACCCGTCACCACTGCTCCTCCAACATTTGTCACTTGCTCTTTGGTCTTCTCAGCCACTGGTACAAATAAAGAGCAACAACAGATTAAAGGGTGGTAGAATAACAGTGACTTAAAATCATTCCACTTCCACTAGCCATCGGCTTCCATACACCTGTATCTACACATGCCATAGATAACTGAGTGGTCAGAAGAAACAAAAGCCACCAAGATGTCCAAGTGAGTGTGGTTCAACCAAACATTGAATCTTGGCTAAGATATTTTGGCTAAAGTCATGCAGTATTAAAAAGTGCTTCAAGTTTAACGATCAGGAATGTAAAGCCATGAGTGATTTGGATTTGGTTTATACTATGGAAAGTTTACAGAAAGCAATTCTTACAGGTGCAGTTATATTTGAACCAGACTCAGCATGAATATTTCTTTATTTCAATTCAGTGCCAATCCTTTGATCTCACTCAGCAAGTTAATTTCCACCACACCTTCTAAGCAACACAATACATACTTCTATTTATTTATTTATTTGAGATGGAGTTTCATTCTTGTTGTTCAGGCTGGAATGCAATGGCACAATCTCAGCTCACAGCAACCTCCGCCTCCTGAGTTCAAGCTATTCTCCTGCCTCAGTCTCCCGAGTAGCTGGGATTACAGGTGCCCACAACCACACCTGGCTAATTATTATTATTATTATTATTTGTATTTTTAGTAGAAACAGGGTTTCATCATGTTGGCCAGGCCGGTCTCGAACTCCTAACCTCAGGTGATCCACCCGCCTTAGCCTCCCAAAGTGCTAGGATTATAGGCATGATCCACCGCACCCAGCCCCTACTTATTATCTACGTGTTCAGACGTGGTATTATCACATATGTACGAATAACAGCATAAGAAACGGTTGTGAAGGAACTTGGATCTTTTTATAGAACTTCAGGTAGTGAAACAAAGGGTTCTTAAAAAGCTAAATTTGCAGTAATTTTAATAGGAGCACAGGAGCTAGACAGTATGAAAATGAAGAGGCTATTGAGCACCCTTACAATTTCTTTTCATAAAACAAAATGAGATACGGTCATTCAGTAGATTTATTAAAATAAGTTAACATTTTTGAGAAGACAGTGTAAATAGTTTGAATTGAGTTTACAAGCAGAAGTTTAATTTCATGTCAAAAACTTTCTTGTTCAGTTAAATAAGCCAGAAACAGAAAGGCAAACAACCACATGATCTCACTCATGTGGAATCTAAAGAAAAAGAAAAGTTGATATCATAGAAGCAGAGAGGAGAACAGTGGAGGAGAGTGGAGGATGGGGACACTCATCTAAGGAAATGAAGGCACATTTTCTTGACATGCTTTGTACTCCCCAGATAAGCCTCAGTCTGAGAGGAGTTACACCATGTCAGCTGTTTAGTGCTATTCACATGACTATTGTATAGGTTTCATCTCACCAGTTGAAGAAGCCAATATTTACTTATTTATTTATTTATTTATTTATTTTGAGACGGAGTCTTGCTCTGTCACCCAGGCTGGAGTGCAGTGGCACGATGTCGGCTCACTGCAAACTCCGACTCCCGGGTTCAGGCCATTCTCCTGCCTCAGCCTCCCCAGCAGCTGGGACTACAGGTGCGCGCCACCACACCCGGCTAATTTTTTTATATTTTTAGTAGAGACAGGGTTTCACCGTGTTAGCCAGGATGGTCTCGATCTCCTGACCTCGTGATCTGCCCGCCTCAGCCTCCCAAAGTGCTGGGATAACAGGCGTGAGCCACCGCGCCTGGCCTGAAGCCAATATTTAAATGGTGTGGACAAAGCAATTTGTTTTCAAATAGACTATGTAAGCTAAGGGGGTCTGTAAGGACAAGAGGCTTTCTCCTTAGTACAGGCAATGTGGGCAAGCCTGACATAGCCACACAGCCCAAGACCAGAAACGGTCCACAGTAGTGTTGCTCCCTATTTGTCTTTTAGGCTAGAATTTTGTACAACTACCTAACAACTCCGTGCCACTTCTAAGGATATGGCTGATGTCTCCTTAAGAGCAAGAGCTATTTACAATTCAAAGTTCGATTTAAATGCCAGCGAAAAGCTGTACTGAAAATCTTATGTTTTAAAACATTTCTGAAATGTTGATCCTTTAAAAATAGTCAATTATGTGTTTCAAGTTGTCATTTTTTTCCTTTTCAAGGACGTGAATTGAAAATTTTGCTTGAAACGAACATTTTCTTGTTATAAAATCTCAAAGCGAGATTAAAAATAGGTTTTGAATTTTTTACAGATCCAGCCATAAATTTTATAATATCTAGATAGCCTTTTATATATGTATAAATTTTAATCTAGTTTTAATGCAATACACTGCACAGTAAAATGTACTCTACACATTATTATAATTTTGTTGTTTTATTATTATAATCATAAATAAAATGGCTACATTACAAAATGACAGAGTGTACATGTAGCAATAATCGACACATTTAAAAACATTTCTGTAGAACTGATTTCTCTAGTAGGGTCTCTGCTGACCTTTAACCTCTATTTTTCCCCTTGAGGGCCTTTCACACTATCTCTCTACTCACTGACATTCCAAATGACGGGTGACAAAACAAAAGGAAAAGAGACACACTCATATTAGTACATTTTGGGTCTAATAAATGGTAACTGTTTTTCGGCAATTGAGTTCTTTGAAATCAGGGATTCTGCTTTATTTTTCTTTATATTATTTCATAGTAGATAATAAATAATTTAGAATATACTAAAATGAATTTAGTGTCTACCTCTAATGTCTGCATTAATATAAATAATAGGTTTATATTTGACTTTAGCTACTTTAAAAATAAAATTCCAAAAAGGAAATGTGATACCAACTTTTAGAATAGATATAGCCAAATCTAACCTTTGACATTAAACAAAATTATAAAATTAATATATGGTTTTGAATTGTTATACAAGTAAATATGTATATTTAAATATACATATGTAAATATGGATTTAAAGAAAATAAATTTGAAACAATTTACTAAGGAAATTTAAATCATAATATGTTGAAAATTAGTTTTGTTCATTATGATGTAATAAATTTATAAGAATCAAAACCTTCAGAAAATCTCCAGTGTTAGAAATTTCTTTATACTATACTTGCATGAAAAATAGGTAACTTTATATCATAGTTTATTTTTAAAGTACCTGAAAAAACATATCATTCAGTAAGTTTAATTAAACACATTTTCATATATTTCTATAATATGATGCATTAAGTTGATAACTGAAATAATTTCCTGAGATCAAACAGCCAGGATTTAAGTTGGTGGATTTTTCATTGATATTATCTAACTAGGATAATTTATTTTATTTGAACTTTGTAGGTAGAAAGTTCCCAGCCCAAGTTTACTGAAGTCTGTATTTCTCCCCTGCCCCACCGAAAAAAAAAAAGCTAATGGGATGAATTTAGGGGAAATTGTTTCTTTAATATTAGAAGATAATATTAGGTACTATGTAATAATTTCTTGTTTCCCTGCATTAAGACTTGTAGCAAGAACAATTAACAATTAGTTAGCACTTAATATGTACCCATAATAAACATTTTACATCAGGCATAATATGCAAATTATTCTCCCTCTCTTTAACCATTGAAGTGTAATTATCTTATTTCTTCTCATAATTAGACTTAAGCACTTTATATTAAATAACCCTATTCAAAAAGTTAATTCATTTATCTGATGTGGGAGAGGAATGATTATGATAGCAGCCGATTTATCCCAATGTGTTTCTCATAGCCATACTAGTTATGACAGCATTTTTGGTTATTTCACTACTGCCAGGGTGGTCCATGGGTGCAATCGCTGTAAATATTGCACATGCTGAAATCACCATGTCCTTACTGCCTAGCAACATTTCCCATAGTTTTCTGTGGAACACTAGTTTCATTCAACCCTAGTAACTAATGAAGAAAGTTTTCAATAATCAAAAAGTTTGAATAACCCTGATTTTAACTATGTAATGCAAATTTCTTTACTGTAGGACATCTCAGATTCCTTAATACGCTAAAGAGAAAATAAAGTATACAAAGTCTCCCAACATTGTACAATGTTAGAAACTTAAGATTGTGAGCCACTGTCCTTCAGAAAACATTTTATAAAATGTCTAATTGTACAAACTTCAGTCTCTCTCTCTCTCTCACACACACGCACACACACACACACACACACACACACACAGATATGTGTTTACATTTTGGCATTCTGGAAAAGACTAAAAAAATGCAGCCCATCTCCACAGTCTCCATTAGATCATCAGGTGACAGTAATAGTTGGGTTCTTTAATTTTTACCACTGACTCCAGAACTTGCCACATGCTTGTCTGCTTTCTAAACCTCATGGGTTCTTCCTCAACTACTAAATGGAACACCATTCATCTAGGTTGACCGTCTTCAGATAGTGGAGTCTCCACCTGTCTGTTATCTAGTTCTTATTATAATCATGCTTCACAATATCATATTTATAGGAGGTCCCTAGAAGGCATCATAGTCCACTTACTTAACTACTTCTCTGTTGGATTGCAACAGAGCCCATTAAAGGTGCACAATTAACTTCTAACAGAACTAGTTTCAAAGGAGTCTGTTTTATTTTTACACTCTGATTTTTAAATCAAAAGTATTCATTTAAAGAAATATTTTTCTCCACTAGTTGTAAAAATGTTGCACAAGAAAGTTCACTATAAAACTATAAGTAACACTTATAAAATACATATTGTTTGCTTTTGTTTTCCAGATGTTTTGTGTACATTAATTCACTGAATTATTTTATAGATGAGGAAGCTAAATCACACAGAGGTGAAGAATCTTGCAAAAAACACACAGCTGGTAAGGAGTAAGCAGGAAGTTGAACCAAGAAGATCTGACTCCTGTGTTTTTAGTCATATCCACAACACTGTATTAAGATTCCCATATCATTGTCCTCATTTCCATTTTAGAAGTCAGTGATAGGAACATTTTATTTGTATAGGCACTATTGTGTTTAATGCTTTCCGATTATATAAATTATATTTCTGATTATATCTTTTGCTTCACCACATCTGCCAGGAAACGTGGAGTACTTACAACAGAAAACTTAATTACAGCAAGTCTGTGGGCTTTTAATTTGTTAAATTTTGGTTCTCCTTTGATTTCTCTATTTCTGGCACTCTCATCCTCATCTTCCTCAACATCTGATGATGATTATCATCCTTTTCATCATTTTTGATATTTCTTGATTGTAAACCTAATTGACTTGTTCAAATTCTCGGTAAATTTAGGCCAAATGAATAATATAATCAGAAATGTAATAATTGCACAATAATATTTGTACAAATAGCTATACCATAACAATACAAAGATAAATACAATAAACATTTTACTGACTGTCCAAGGGTGTTTCCTGAAATGCACTCTGAATTATCAAAGGAATATTGTAATCAACATAATTTAAGGTCAAAATATTTTACTGTAATCAACAGAAATTTTACTTTTTTTAAAATTATGGCAATATTCACATTTTATTTTTGTCAGCAGTTTGTCAATACATTTTTGGTCAGAATATTTAAATGCCCACTTACTATAAATTAAACATAGCTTATCAATTCAAAGCCCTCATTATTCTTGGCAAGTATATTTTTTATTTATAATCAATATTTACCTATTTAAAAATACTTTATAAAGAATTCAGTTTCAATAAGACTGATATGTTCTTAGAATGCTCAGTGATTGTTTTACAATTTCATAGGAATCTTGAATACTGGGCCACACTAATCACTAGATACTTTAAATATCATCTTTGGATATAAGCACAATGGAGCTTACCTGTTGCCACACCATGCACCACTCCCTCCTTGGTTTTGGAGCCTACAAAAACAAATTCAAGACATAAGTCTCAAGCTAGCCTTAAATTGCTGATTAGCTAGTTTTCAATACAACTAATTTAAAAATCTCAATCTTCAGAAGTATATATATTATTATATCTTCAGGGAAAGAAAAAAATATATATATATATCCTAAAACTAGAAGAAGGAACTCCAGTAACCACCACAATAAATAGAAGAAAGCCCAGCTAACAGGAGGTCCTCTCCAATTACGATTTTAGCACAAAATAATGACTTTATCCCCTTTGTTCCCACATCACATGTCAACTTACAGAGGAGAAAAAAGAATGAGATAACACCGGGGCCCAGTGAGAAGATAATTTTGAATTCAGAACTGTAGAAGCTTTAAAAGTACAGCACTAGAGACAGATCAGTCAACCCATGAAACAAAAGGGAAGAAGGATGGAGAGAAGGCTTTAACATGTGCTGAACACCCATTATGTAAAAAAAACATTTTAGGCTGGGCGCAGTGGCTCATGCCTGTAATCCCAGCAATTTGGGAGGCCGAGGTGGGCAGATCACGAGGTCAGGAGATCGAGACCATCCTGGCTAATATGGTGAAACCCCATCTCTACCAAAAATACAAAAAATTAGCCAGGCGTGGTGGCGGGTGCCTGTAGTCCCAGCTACTTGGGAGGGGCTGAGGCAGGAGAATGGCATGAACTCGGGAGGCAGAACTTGCAGTGAGCCAAGATTGTGCCACTGCACTCCAGCCTGGGTAACAGAGCAAGACTCTGTCTCAAAAAAACAAACAGACAAACAAACAAACAAACAAAAAACACATTTTACATATCATCTTATTTAATCTTCATAACAGCCATTTAATATAGTTATATTATGCCCATTTTAAATAGCTGATGAAATTAAAAATCCGAGTTAAGTAATTTATGTAACATTACACATGTAATAATAGGCTATAAGCACATTCAAACTAGGGTCTCTACACAGGATCAGAATTTCTTCCAAACCTTGAACATTACTAAACTTGAATACAAATAATTATTATGTGTATTATTAAAATTATGCTTGTAAAAAATTGTATTCATATCCTCTCTAATGTTGGATTTTTCAGTGTAATTCACACTGTATAATTTATGGAATCGGCATGATTTTTATGTTTTACAGAATTATCATACTCCTTTTTAAGTTTGGATCAGTTTACAAAATGTTATCATTTGCACTTTAATGTCATGATATACTGACAGTGTATTTAACATAAGGTGTATTTTTCAGCAACACTTCCTCTGGGACACCTTCACTCTTTATCACAACCTCTTTCCCCATTATACGGATACCTTCACCTCACTACGTTCCTCTGACTGCATATTTAGAGTCTCCTGAATTGCAGCAGTGACAACATCCTCAGGGTAGCTACTTCCTGTATACATCAACTTATGTTTGATTCAAATTTTACTTCCAGAATGTTTCACTTCCTTTGTTTGCTACTCTTTCATCTTTGCTGGCCAGTTTCCTCTTTTGATTGCGCATTTTCGTGAAACATCACATGGGCTCACCACTGGGAGACAATGTGGCCACACAAGTCCGGGCATTGCTGTCTGTATGAACTGCATAACAGATGTGAAGCAACCAATCTCCAAAAAGCTTTGAAAGAAGTGCTGTGGTTTTGTCACTGATTATAATGGGTTTCTGTTATTTATGTAATGATTTGAAGGCTGAAGAGTTAGCAGCAAAGTTTGTACTTTATGCAATGACTTTCGGTATACTGTGGTAACAGAAATTTGAATTGTGTTGTTAGTGGCTGGTGTTATTTAACTAACCATAGTACCTGGAATTTGTTTGTGCTGGAACTATGCAGAGTGAGAACAGCTGATATTTAAGAGAATATGTTTCAATCTCTATCTCTCATCCTCACCACCTGCACCCCATGTTGTCTTAAAAATGACTAGTAGTAAGAAATGTCTAACAGCTGGAATGCGATCTTTGTTCTTTGCCTTAGCAGTACCTAAGAATTTGACCTTTGGTTAAATTATGAAACATATTCTAAATCAAAGACAATGAGATAGAAGTAGAGAGTAGAATTATGATTATTAGAGGCTGACAACGGTAAGAGGGAGGGGAGGATATGGAGAGGTTGGTTAAAGAATATGAAATTGGAGCCAAATATGAGGAATGAGTTCTAGCATTCTGTAGTACTGTAGGGTGATATACTTAACAATAGTTTATTGCATATGTTCAAAAATCTAGAAGAGAGAATTTTTAATTTTTACTGTTCCCACCACAAAGGAATGATAAATGTTTCAGGTAATGGA